>NC_000017.11:5339595-5491111 GCF_000001405.40 Homo sapiens
GAGACCAGCCTGGCCAACATGGTGAAACCCTGTCTCTACTAAAAATACAAAAATTAGCCAGGCGTGGTGGCCACGCGCCTTGTAGTCCCTTCTACTTGGGAGGCTGAGGCAGGAGAATTGCTCAAACCCAGGAGGTGGAGATTGTTGCAGTTACCTGAGACTGTACCACTGCACTCCAGCCTGGGCGACAGAGTGAGACTCCATCTCAAAAAAAGAAAGAAAAAAATACTGAAAATAAAGGGATAAAAATATACCATGTAAATTCGAACCAAAAGAAAGCTGATATACCAAGTGTAGTATCACAAAGATAGGATAAGGGGGAAAAGCCACTAATAGAGATAAAGAGGGATCCTATCTAATAAACAGTTCATCAATAAGATATAATAGTCATGAACTTGAATGCACCTTACATAGTCATGAAATGCATAAACTAATAATGACAATTACAAGGAGAAACTGACTTTCACAAATATAGTAGCAGATTAAAATTGACCTTTACAGAATACAATCAGAAAAAATTATTAGTAGAGCTATAGACATTTTGAACTATCAGGTTAGTTATTTAGTTGTAATTGACACACAGAACTCGGTATCCAAGAGTGAGATGGTATCGCATACAGTACTAGAACATAATAGTTAAGAGCTCAGCATTTAGTAGCCTGGGTTACCTTGGGCAAATTACTTAATCATACTGTGCTTTGATTTTCTCAACTGTGAAATGGGGATAATAAGCCCACCTTAATAGTCACCATATGGCTATTATGAGGAACATATAAATTAATCCCTATAGTAGCCACTGTATGGCTATTATGAGGAACATATAAATTAATACCTATAAACCTTTAGGATAGTACCTGGGACAAGGTATAGTTATTTTTAGATACATTATCTTAGAATTGAGGTTACACAGACCCAATTCTGTAACTATGGGTTATTCAGGTATTTACGCTAAAATGATAGTTAAAATGCTTGGACATGAAAAAAATACTCATGGAAAAAGTAATTACAAAATATTTAGAATGATGTGAATAATGCCAGATCTTTAAAAAAAAAAAAAAAGTACAAACTGAGCCGGGCGCAGTGGCTCATGCCTGTAATCCCAGCACTTTGGGAGGCTGAGGTGGGTGGATCGCCTGAGGTCAGGAGTTCGAGACCAGCCTGGCCAACGTAGTGAAACCCCATCTCTACTAAAAATGCAAAAAATTAGCTGGGCGTGGTGGCGGGCGCCTATAATCCCAGCTACTGGGGAGGCTGAGGCAGGAGAATTGCTTGAACCCAGGAGGCAGAGGTTGCAGTGAGCTGAGATCTTGCCATTGCACTCCAGCCTGGGCAACAAGAGCAAAACTCCGTCTCAAAAAAAAAAAAAAGTACAAACAAAATAAATGGAAATGAATAATATAAACATAGGAATTTGTGAAATAGAAAAGCAAAAGAACAATAGAGACTATCAATATAATGAAAAAATGGAAAAACTATAGACAAATCTCTGGTAAGACTGATCAGGAAAAATGAAAACAAAAATGAGAAATCAGAAGTGAGTCCGAGTGTAGAGGCTCATGCCTGTAATCCTAGCACTTTGTGAGGCTGAGGCAGAAGGATCACTTGAGCCCAAGGAGTTGAGGCTGTGGTGAGCCATGGTGGCTCCACTGCACGCCAGCCTGGGCAAGGGAGCCTGTCTTAAAAAAAAGAACATAACTACAAATCAGTAGAAATTTAAAAATAACAAATACTATAAACTGTCACACAAATAAATTTGAAAACAGATGAAAAAATTTCTAATAAAAGATAATTAGCCCAAATTATTCCAAAACAGGAAAGGTAGTCAGTAATTATTAAAGAAAGTGGATCTAGAGTAAAAAATCTTATTGTCTCTTGCCTCCTCTCACCAAAAGATATTAAACTGTTGATTTTACAGGTAAGTTTTTCCAGACTTTCTGGAAAGAGCAAATTCTTATATTTTACGAACTCTCAGGGAATACAAAAAGAGAGAAAGCTCTCCAACTGTTTTTATGAGACTAGTAGATCTTCACTACAAGTGAGCAAACACATAGAAAGGTAGTATGAGAAGAAATTATAGATCTGTCTCAGGAATACAGAAGCTAAAATTTTCAACATCGTAGGTAAAATAAAGGGGGAGAAATACATCATGACCAAGTAGGGTGTATTCCCAGAAATTTATCGGAAAATCTATCATTGCAGTGTACACGTGAAATGATTGTAGAAGAACAGCATTATATTCATTTTGGATTCAGAGAGGTATTTGAGAAATTTGACCACTCAATAACTTAGTAAAGGGCTATTTATCAAACCTTTGGCAAACATAGTTAAGGGTGAATATTTAGCAGCCTTACCATTAATGGTGGGAACATTCTGGGGCAGACCCATGCTCAGTAATTCAGAAATGAGGCATAAGAACTGGAAAGAAAGCAACGAGACTGATTCAATTGTCTGTATAAAGAAACCAGAGAATGTACAACAGATTGTTAGACCTAATAAGAGTTCAACAATTTGAAAGTTGTTCAAACAAAATCAACATACTAAGATAATTGTTTTTCTATGCCCCAGTGATAACCAGTTGAAGAATGCAGTGGTGGAAAAAAGATTGATCCTATTCACAAGAGTAAAAAAAAAGAAAAAAAAGAAAAAGAAAAACTAGTTAGCTACCAATATAGCTAAATAAAGATGGGCAGGGTCCTTATAGACTACATAATAAATGAGGACCTGAATCTGTATTTTCCTGAATGAAAAGATAGAGCATTGGGCCGGGTGCAGTGGCTCACGTCTGTAATCCCAGCACTTTAGGAGGCCAAGGTAGGGGGATCACCTGAGGTTAGGAGTTTGAGACCAGCCTGGCCAGCATGGTGAAACCCAGTCTCTACTAAAAGTACAAAAATTAGTCGAGCATGGTTGCGGAAGCCTGTAGTGCCAATCTCTCAGGAGGCAGAGGTTGCAGTGAGCTGAGGTCGTGCCACTGCACTCCAGCCTGGGCAGTAGAGCGAGACTCTGTCTCACACACACACAGCATTATAAAGTAGACATTGTATCCCCAAATTTTTAAATTTTACTTAAATTTCAATAGGGTTTAATTAGGAACTTGATAATTCAGTTCTAGAAGTAGACTTCATATAGAGAAGTGAAGGAACAGGAAAATACTTAGCAAAATTTTGAAGACAAGATGAGGAGACTTGGCCTACCTACCAGATAGCAGGACCACAGTAAAGCTACTATAATTAAGGTAGTTTGTTACTGGTTTAGGGATAAACAAATGGATCAATAAAACAGAAAGCCCAGAAACAGACCTATATATGTGTAAATTTGATATATGACAGGTGGCATTACAAATCAGTGGGTGAAGAATGGATTGTTAAAAAATACCCTTTTTGGCTGAGTGTGGTGGCTCGCGCCTGCCATCTCAGCACTTTGGGAGGCCAAGGCAGGTGGGTCACCTGAGGTCAGGAGTTCGGGACCAGCCTGGCCAACATGGTGAAACCCTGCCTCTACTAAAAATGCAAAAATTAGCTGGGCATCCGCCTGTAATCCCAGCTACTTGGGGGGCTGAGGCAGGAGAATCGCTTGAACCTGGGAGGCGGAGGTTGCGGGGAGCCAAGATCGCACCATTGCACTCCAGCCTAGGCGACGAGTGAAACTCCGTCTCAAAATAAATAAATTATTATCTGGCCATGTGCGGTGGCTCATGCCTGTAATTCCAGCACTTTGGGAGGCTGAGGTGGGCAGATTGCTTGAGCTTAGGAGTTCAAGACCAGCCAGCACAACATAGTGAAACTCTTTCTTTACAAAAAATACAAAAATTAGCCAGATGTGGTGGTGCATACCTGTAGTCCCAGCTACTCGGGACGAGGCATGAGAATCATGAGAATCACTTGAACCCAGGAGGTGGAAGTTGCAGTGAGCTGAGATTGGGCCACTGCACTCCAGCCCGGGAGACAGGTTTATTTCTAAACCGGTAACGAACTATCTTAATTATAGTAGCTTTACTTCAAGTCGTACTATCTGATAGGTAGACCCACTCTCTCCACCTTGTTGTCTTCAAAAAGATTTCTTTCTTTCTTTTCTCTTTTTTTTTTTTTTTTTTTTTTTGAGTCAGGGTCTTGCTGTGTTGCCTAGGCTGGAGTGTAGTGGCATGATCTTGGCTCACTGCACCCTCCACCTCCCAGGTTCAAGCGATTCTCCTGCTTCAGCCTCTCAAGTAGCTGGGATTACAGGCGTGCACCACTGCACCTGGCTAATTTTTGTATTTTTAGTAGAGACGGGGTTTTGTCATGTTGGCCAGGCTGGTCTCGAACCCCTGACCTCATGTGATCCACTCACCTTGGCCTCCCAAAGTGCTGGGATTACAGGCATGAGTCACTGTGCCTGGCCCAAGGTTTCCTAAATAAGACAAAAATATTGACTGTGAAAGGAAAACTGGCAAGTTTAGCTACATTATAATATAAAGTTCTTTGTTAAAAGATACTATTAATACAAAAAGTTGAAAAGAGAAGCTACAGACTATAAGAAGATATCAATACCTCATAACTGACAAAATATTAATATCCAAAATAATAAAATTGCTAAGTTGGCTGGACGTGGTAGCTCACACCTGTAATCCCAGTATTTAGATTGCTTGAGACCAGGAGTTTGAGACCAGCCTGGGCAACATGGAGAAACCCTGTCTCTACTAAAAATACAAAAATTAGCCGGGCATGGTGGTGCACGCCTATAATCCCAGCTACTTGGGAGGCTGAGGCACAAGAATTACTTGAACCCGGGAGATGGAGGCTGCAGTGAGCGTAGGTTGTGCCACTGCACTCCAGCCAGAGCAACAGAGTGAGACTCTCTCTCAAAATTGCCAAGTCCACAAGTGACAGATAATTCTGAAGAAAAACAGGTAAAGTGGCCGAGCGCAGTGGCTCGTGCCTGTAATCCCAGCACTTTGGGAGGCCGAGGCGGGCGGATCACGAGGTCAGGAGATGGAGACCATCCTGGATAACACGGTGAAACCCGGTCTCTACTAAAAATATGAAAAATTAGCCGGGCGTGGTGGCGGGCACCTGTAGTCCCAGCTACTTGGGAGGCTGAGTCAGGATAATGGCGTGAACCCGGGAGGCGGAGCTTGCAGTGTGCCGAGATCGTGCCTCTGCACTCCAGCCTGGGTGACAGAGCAAGACACTGTCTCAAAAAAAAAAAAAAAAAAAAAAAAGGAAAAACAGGTAAAGTATAGCTAGGTGGCGCATGCCTGTAATTCCAGCTACTTGGGAGGCTGAGGCATAAGAATTGCTTGAACCCAGGAGCCAGAGGTTGACGTTGCAGTAAGCTGAGATCGCGGCACCACCCTCCAGCCTGGGCGACAGATCGAGACTCCGTCTCAGAAAAAAAAATAAAAAAAAATAAACAGGTAAAGTGTATGAGCTGTCGGTTAACAAAAGAGGAAACCAGAATAGTCAAGGAGTGTGAAAAGATAGTCAACATTCAACCACACTAGAAATTGGGGAAATGTAAATGAAAGTGGGACATCATTTTACCCTAACCAGGTTGTAAGGGTTATAGAGAAATTGGTTGCATTCACCGACTACTGGTGTATGTGAAACTCTTCCGTTTAAGGCACTGTTGTCACATTGTCCTCCCAGTTGACTGTTTTTGGTTTCTCATGACCCTCATTGCTTCTCTGTATTTTCTCCTGCATAGATCCTGATACCACGTACATTTTTCTGAATAGGTGGCTTTCAGTGGTTTGTTTGTACCCTCTCCTTGTCACCTGGCTTTTTGTAGATGTCCATTTGTTGTTGGTTTTGGTCATTCCAGGGTATGGAACTCAAAGTAATTCAAATAGTATGTCACTATTGCCATCATCTTCCCAGGGTCCTGCTCAGTAGTTTTCAAATATTAGAAATTCATTATTAATTAAACCAAATGTTTATTCCAAAAAGTAATAACTGGTAGAATTAGTGGGTTATATACCACCATTTTAAATCTGCCATACGGACTCTTTTACCATCAGCTGAATTACCACCGTCCTCAGGTGTTAGAGAAAGTATTTCATGATAGTTGCAACTTTACCATTCTTTGTTCATATCATGTGCTGGACTGTCAACCTTCAGTGAAGCATCAAATGATTGCTTAAATGGTCATTTAAGTCTTTGACTATTATTGCATGATGGCCTAGGAGTAAAGATAACTGAAAACAGATAAGCCACTTTAAGTTTGAAGAAATAGGAAGATAAAAGGCATGAAAAGGACCTTGAATGTGATATTAGATATAACCATTTGAAAAAGTTGAAAGTTAACTAAAGGGTTAGAATTTAGAATGGACAATTTATGTGACAGTCTAAAGTGACGTAATCCTTGATTTTCTGGGGAAGAATTGTATTTTTTTTGGTTATAACTTTCCTATATTAGACTATATTGTTACTATTTTGAGTATTACACTTAATTGATCAACAGAAAAAAAGTATTTTTTTTAAAGATGTGGTTTTATTTTATTGTTATTTTTTGGAAACAGGGTTTCTCCGTGTTTCCCAGGCTGGTCTCAAACTCCTGAGCTCAAGCATTCTGCCCACCTTTGCCTCCCAAAGTGCTAGGATTACAGGCGTGAGCCACCACACCTGGGCAAGATGTGATTTTAAAAAGTATTCTGCATTTGCCTTTAAGTCATTACAGTGTGAGACTAGTTATTTGTTCCATTATAATTTCCTCTTTTTTACTTCCATGAGTATATGTATCTGTGAAAATGTCTTCTTTTTATACATTTAAAGCATTTGGAATTCCCTCACCAGAAGTAAAAGGAAAGCAAACTTAAAAGTGTATGGTATCGTTTTTGTCCTTAGAAATTAACTACCGATTTAAAAAAGCAAAACATACCTGGTGTTACTGTTATGGCTGAAACAGATACATGCATATGTTGATGTGGGAATACAAATTGGAGCCGCCTTTTTGAAAAGCAAGGGACAAAGCTGTTATGTGAAATCTCAATTGTATATTTTATTCTGGTGGTGTGATTATGGATAACATCTATTAAGTTATTTTCCCAGTTTTCTATAGTACATATTTTATAATTAAAAATTATAAATGTTAATTTATGTAGATGTAAAAGTAAGTGTAAATTTTTTTGAGGCATAGCCAGAACTTACCATCATTCTGTATCTAAGATAGAAACTGTTGTAAATTTCAGTTTAATGGAATTGCATCTTCTTTCAGGTTAAAGAACTGAATCATTATCTGGAAGCTGAGAAATCTTGTAGGACTGATCTAGAGATGTATGTAGCTGTTTTGAATACTCAGAAATCTGTTCTACAGGAAGATGCTGAGAAACTGCGGAAAGAATTGCATGAAGGTAAATATACTGTATATTTTTATCTTTGTCTCTAAGAACCATATAAGTTAAATTGATGTTGACTAATAACAGTGACAAATCTTAAAATAACAATGCAACATGTTAGTGATTCAATTTAAGCCTTGTAGTTGGTTTAAATGTACTCATGCAAAGCTGAAATTATGGTTTTTCCTTCGTGAGCTCAGTAATAACTTCACAAGGTGGCTGGGTACAGTGGCTCACTCCTATAATCCCAGCACTTTGGGAGGCCAAGGTGGGCAGATCACCTAAGGTCAGGAGTTTGAGACCAGCCTGGCCAACATGGCGAAAACCCGTCTCTACTGCAAAAACAAAAATTATCCAGGTGTGGTGATGCGCACCTGTTATCCCAGCTACTCAGGAGGTTGAGGCACGAGAATCACTTGAACCCAGGAGGCAGAGGTTGCGGTGAGCCAAGCTCACACCACTGCACTCTGTCCTGGGCGACAGAGCGAGACTTCATCTCAAAACAAACAAACAAACAAACAAACAAACAAACAAACAAACAAAACATCACCAGGCGTGAGCTCTGGGCAGAGAGATAATAAAGCTGGGAATTTCTGCTTCAACTACTTTTCCCCCCACACTCATTTTGATGGAGGTGTATTAGCAAAAGTGAAAATGGAAGAGGGCAGAGAGTGTATTCTGGAGGCCCTAAGTAACACTCTGTTTTTAAGGGGACAATTTTGATTTCACTAGTCTGGTAGCTCAGTGATACAGAAATTGACTCTATTTTCCAGGGGTACATTCTTTCCCCACTAAAATATTATGAAAATAACCCAAACTTTGAGTGAAGTTTTGGCCTTCAGGAAACAATTTCCAAGTGTGCTATTGCAATAAAAAGACACTCATATTCTTAAAGGTGTCCAAAAGAACTAGTTCAGTTTAAACTATGTCCCTCTAACACTTCCAGAAATAATGTAAATTATTGAGACTACCAACCTTCCTAATAAACCTTGAAAAGTATCCGAGAAGGTTAATTAAAATGAGGAAGGACATGGAGTAATTTCCATACTGAAACACTCACAATAAAAAATAGAGTCTTTTTTTTGAGACAGAGGTTCATTCTTGTTGCCCAGGCTGGAGTGCAGTGGTGTGATCTCGGCTCACTGCAACCTCCACCTCCTGGGTTCAAGTGATTCTCCTGCTTCAGCCTCCTAAGTAGCTGGGATTACAGGCATGCGCCACCATGCCTGGCTAATTTTGTATTTTTAGTAGAGATGGGGTGTTTCTCCGTGTTGGTCAGGCTGGTCTTGAACTCCTGACCTCAGGTGATCCATCCGCCTCAGCCTCCCAAAGTGCTGGGATTACAGGCGTGAGCCACCACGCCCAGCCCAGATAGGCTTCTTAAAAGAAGTTGTTCTTAAATGGAGTTTTGGAAGGTGGGTAGGGGATTGTCAGGTAGTCAGAGAGAAGCATGGCATTCAAGGCCATTTGCATGTGATGCAGCTAGGTAAGGAAGTCTAAGAAAAGCAGTTCAGCACAATTAGAATACAAGAGGCAATGGGCAAAATGTGAGGTTGGAGCAGTAGAAACAGGCCAGGACATAGAGGTCTTATGCTAAGAATATTGGACTTGATCATCTGGGCAGTTCGGATCCTCTGAAGGTTTTTTATTTTCTCTTTTTTTTTGTTTTGAGATAGTCTTGCCCTTGTCGCCCAGGCTGGAGTGCAGTGGCGCGATCTCGGCTCACTGCAAGCTCTGCCTCCTGGGTTCACGCCATTCTCCTGTCTCAGCCTCCCAAGTAGCTGGGACTACGGATGCCCACCACCATGCCTGGCTAATTTTTTTGTATTTTTAGTAGAGATGGGATTTCACTGTGTTAGCCAGGATGGTCTCGATCCCCTGACCTCGTGATCCGCCCACCTCGGCCTCCCAGAGTGGTGGGATTACAGGCATGAGCCACTGCGCCCGGCCTATTTTCTCTTAAATAATAGTTTTATTAAGATAAAATTTGCATGCCATAAAGTTCACTCGTTAAAGTATACAATTCAGTAGTTTTTAATATATTCACAAAATTGTGCCCCATCACCACTGTCTAATTCCAAACATTTTCATTACCTCAAAAAGAAATCCTGTACCCATTTACTGTCATTTCCTATGTCTCTACCTCCAGCCCTTGGCAACCACTAATCTACTTTCTATCTCTGTGGACTTGCCTATTCTGGACTTTGATGTGAATGGGATTTTATAATATGTGCCTTTTTGTGTCTGGCTTCAGTGAAGGGTTTTAGACTGGAGAGCGGTAATATTAGTTTTGCGTTTTAGAAAGTTCAGTCTCATAGCACTGTGGTGAATAGAATAGGGAGGGCAAGACTGAGGGCAGAAGAATAAAAAAGGGGCCTCTGTTGTAGTTGTTTAAGTCATAAGTGCTGGTCTAAGGCAGAAGCCAGAAGATAGATATATCATATTGCAGAGAAGGCCGAGTTAGCAGGTCTCTGTCATAGTTGAATATGTTGGGGTGAGGAAAAATCAGAAGTATGAGTTGGCTTGGGTGGCTTGGTAGATGGGTGGATAGATCATGCTACCTATTCTCTTTTTAGCAGAAGATGGCTGAGCTGATGAGTATCAACAACACATACATTTTACAAAGATTCCTTGACTTGTCATAAGAAGTCTATATTAACCGGACCCAACGAGGATTTCTGGATAACAGATTTATCAGAATGTATTAAACACAATTAGGAGTGTTTATTCCACCTTTGGCCTTTGGAGCAATGTTTCCCAAAGTATATTCCCTAGAGTACTTGTTATTTGAGTTGTACTGTGAAAAGTTTTTTTTTTTCTTTTGTCAAATAAATTTGGGAAAGGCTATATTATATATTACCTTCCAAGAAAACATAGACATAATTAAGACCCCGAGTTCAAAGTCCTGCAGTAAAGAAATCTTTAAAAATTTATTTAATTATGGAGGAGCCTTTGCAAAATAACAATAATAATAAATTTCTCCCTTTAACTTGAAGTTTCTAAGACTTACTAAGAACAGAAATCTTTCTTTGCTGTATTCCTAGGAGTGCACTTTGGGAGACTCTGCTTTAAAGAGATGGTGTGGGGATAGGTTGCCCCTTGGTCCAGCCAAGGACAGAATCCTAGAGATGTGGACCATTGGTCAGACCTGGGCTAGGAGCCCTGTGCTAAAGAAATTGCCTACCATTGGCCGGGCGCGGTGGCTCACGCCTGTAATTCCAGCACTTTGGGAGGCCGAGACGGGCGGATCATGAGGTCAGGAGATCGAGACCATCCTGGCTAACATGGTGAAACCCCGTCTCTACTAAAAATACAAAAAATTAGCCGGGCATGGTGGCAGGCGCCTGTAGTCCCAGCTACTCCGGAGGCTGAGGCAGGAGAATGGCGTGAACCCGGGAGGCAGAGCTTGCAGTGAGCCAAGATTGCACCACTGCACTCCAGCCTGGGCGACAGAGCGAGACTCCATCTCAAAAAAAAAAAGAAATTGCCTACCATTAAAATTCAGTGTTTTTGATTTGTGGTGGGGGGGTTCCTAAACAGTTTGCCATCTCTTGGAGCAAGAGCGACAACAACACAACCAGTTAAAACATACGTGGCAGAAGGCCAATGACCAGTTTCTGGAATCTCAGCGTTTACTGATGAGAGACATGCAGCGAATGGAGATTGTGCTAACTTCAGAACAGCTCCGACAAGTTGAAGAACTGAAGAAGAAAGATCAGGTGAATAGAAGTTTTTAGGACTGATTTGCTTTGTCAGTAATGTCCCCCACCACATGTGATTGCATTACCTTATGTGTATTAGAGACTGACTTAAGCTGCAACAAGGTGATAAAGGTGATATGTGCCACTTTTAAAAACATAACAGCTACATTTGAGGGGTTTTGTTTTTCATCTTTAGAAATGGCCTCCTCTCGGGGGTGGGGAAACTGATTTGGAAATGATCTTCAGTGACTGCAGGATGCAGCAGTGCGTATTTCGGAGAAAATCTTTCTCTCCTGTGCTGACCAGTTCTCCCAGGCCAAGTCTTGAGGTCAAGCTTGTCCAACCTGCAGCTCTTGGCTTTGAATGCGGCCCAACACAAATTTGTAAACTTTCTTAAAACATTATGAGATTTTTTTTGCAATCTTTTTTGTTTGTTTTAGCTCATCAGCTATCGTTAGCGTCAGTGTATTTTGTGTGTAGCCAAGACAGTTCTTCTTCAGTGTGGCCCAGGGAAGCCAAAAGATTGGACACCTGCTCTAAGAGCTCTACTAGGTGACATGATATGAATGGAGAGGCTGAGTAATAGGAGGTGGCAGGTGTTCAGAGCACTGCATATTCAGGTTCCTGTTTTCTCCTTATCTTTTAGTTATTGAAATTGCATGAATAATATATATATTTATATACATTATCATAAATTTTTTGTTTTAAATACAGTGAAAAAATAAATATAAAGTGATCAAGTGAAAAGTCTTCCTTAACATCTCCCACACCTCCCCTTGTCAGAAGATTGTTTTACCATTTGGTAGAGAGCCTTCTAAACCAGTTCTGTGTGTTTATGATATACATTTAGGGTGTAGTTTTCCTCTTACACAACTATAGTTATACTATAAGTATGTATTCTAGGCAGGGCATGGTAGCTTATGTCTGTAATCCCAACACTTTGGGAGGCTGAGGCAGGAGGATCGCTTGAGCCCAAAAGGCCAAGACCAGCCTGGGCCATATAGTGAGACTCTGTTTCTACAATAATAATAAGAAGAATAATTAGCTGGGCATGGTGGCACGTGCCTGTAGTTCCAGCTACTTGGGAGGCTGAGGTGGGAGGATCACTTGATCCGGGAGGCGGAGGCTGCAGTGAGCTGTGATCACACCACTGCACTTCAGCTGTGGGTGACAAAGCAAGATCCTATCTCAAAAAAAAGTATATATATTTCCCATAAGCATTATCCTGGATGTATTTTCATATCGACGTTGTATTTTGTTCTTGAGTGTAGATGGATGCACCATATTGATTTACCCTTTCTCCTTGTAGCGTGTATCTAGGTGGTCCCCCTTTTCTTGTCATCTCAAATAATCTTGCAGCTAAATCCTTGACCGTATTGTGTATATGTGCAGATACTTCCCTAGGATAGCTATGTAAAAGTGTTCACTGCCTTTCTAAGTATCTTGTCAAACGTTTCAAATTGCTTTATGTGACTTAGGTTAGATTTTGTTTTGCAAAGTTTCTTCTTTTTTAAATTTCCTTTTTGTCTCTTAATTTGGACTCATTCGTCTTGTGTGTAGTCAAAGCCAACATAAGGATTTTTTTTTTTCTTTTTTTTGAGACAGGATTTCACTCCAGTCACCCAGGCTGGAGCACAGTGGCACAATCTTGGCTCACTGCAACCTCCGCCTCCCAGGCTCAAGTGATTCTTCTGTCTCAGCCGCCCAAGTAGCTGGGACTACAGGCGTGTGCCACCATGCCTGGCTAACTTTTGTATTTTTAGTAGAGACAGGGTTTCACTACGTTGCCCAGGCTGGTCTCAAACTCCTGACCTCAAGTTATCTGCCCGTCTCGGCCTCCCAAAGTGCTGGGATTACAGGCATGAGCCACCATGCCCTGCTCTAAAGTACAGATCTTATCCTGCCTTCCCTGCTGCCCATTAAAAGAGTCTAAACTTGGCCGGGCGCGGATGGTCACACCTGTAATCCCAGCACTTTGGGAGGCCGAGGTGGGTGGATCACCTCAGGTCAGGAGTTTGAGACCAGCCTGGTCAACTTGGCGGAACCCCACCTCTACTAAAAATACAAAAATTAGCCAGGTGTGGTGGCATGTGCCTGTAGTACCAGCTACTTGGGAAGCTGAGGCAGGAGAATCACTTGAACCCAGGAGGCGGAGGTTGCAGTGAGCCGAGATCACATCACTGCACTCCAGCCTGGGTGACAAAGTGAGACTCCCTCTCAAAAAACAAAAACAAAAACAAAGAGTCTAAACTTTACTAAGATGATCATTTAAAACTTTTCAACATTTATTGAGCTCTTACTATGTGCTAGCATTGTGCTAAGGCTTTATGTATAAATCTTTATGTCAAGTGGTTATCAAAAACTCTCCATAAGCAGTAGGGACTACAATTATACGGTTCCTGTGTTCTAGAATAGTAAACAGGCTGAGACGTCATGTATGGCCCATCTGAGGCTTGAACAATCTCTGATTCCAGAGTCTAAGTGCTTACTCACCACCTCTTTCTCCATGTCCTTTACTTCTCATGTGCCTGCCCATTTTTCATCCATATAACATTACACAGAACTCCTCCACAGGCCTGCTTTTCCATGTTTCTGTCTTTTGTATGTGCCTCCTTTCTCCCTGGAACCCTTAATTGTCTCTTCTCATGCAACTGGCAAACTTACCTTACTGATCTTTCAAGATTCAGCTGAAGTGTTACTCCTTTGGGCCTCCTTTGCTGGTTCCTTCAGATGAAATCAGTCATTGTTTTTCTCCTTCTTTAGAACCTTGTACATACTTGTATTGTAATTGTTTGTCTCTCCTCCCTAGGCTGTTTTACGTGACACTGAAGGTATAAGGTATCTTACTCATCTTTGTTGAGTGAATTATTCTATCAACTTTAATCATTCCTTTTGTATTCATATACATTTGTTAATGTTTCTAATGGATGTGTAACATTATAAAAACTTTTTTGGGTGGGGTGTGGTGTCTCATGCCTGTAGTCCCAACGCTTTGGGAGGCCAAGGTGGGAGGATCGCTTGAGCCTGGGAGTTTGAGACCAGCCAGGACAACAGCGTGAGACCCCATCTATGCAAAAAAACCAAAAAATTAGCCAGGCATGGTGGTGCATGCCTGTGATCCCGGCTACACGAGAGGATGAGGCAGGAGGATTGCTTGAGCCCAGGAGTTCAAGACCAGCCTGGGCAACAATGTGAAACCCCGTCTCTACAAAAAATAAAAAAATTAGGCGGGCGTGGTGGCACATGCCTATGATTCCAGCTATGTGGAGAGGATGAGGTGGGAGAATTGCTTGAACCCAGGAGGTTGAGGCTGCAGTGAACCATATTTGCACCACTGCATTCCAGCCTGAGTGTCAGAGCAAGACCTTGTCTCAAAAACAAACTTTTTCATATTTATTTTCTACAGTAATCACAAGGAATGTTCTGTGTAAATTTTTTTTTTCAAGGATCATTTGAAGAGGCGGTTTTGCTTTCTTTTATTTTGCCTTACTTTATACAGTATACTTTTCTTGGAAGCTGCTTCCTGATTTCTTCTTTATACCAGTGTTCTTAGTTTGTGCTTATAATATTAAAATATTTTGTAATGGCCAGAGGCCCTTAGATGGGATTACAAAACAAAGAAGCGTAAGTATCCAGTTTTCTCTTATCATAACGCTCTGTTCTTTATTTGTTTTGAATGGTTAAAGAACTGTGTCACTTATTAAGTAGGTTACTTGGGTCATATATATGTTTTTTTCTTCCTTTTAGGAGGATGATGAACAACAAAGACTCAATAAGAGAAAGGATCACAAAAAAGCAGATGTTGAGGAAGAAATAAAAATACCAGTAGTGTGTGCTTTAACTCAAGAAGAATCTTCAGCCCAGTTATCAAATGAAGAGGTATAGTGAGTCTATAATTAAAGTCATTAAATACACAATGTCAACAATTTTAGCTTACTCATACATCAGTTAATTACATTGTTCATATGAGAAGTGAGAAGTGCATAGCTACGAGGTGAAAGTTAGATAAAAATGACAGTATTTTCAGTTGTTTTTATGGCATTATAGGTAGCACTATTTGAAACATGTTGCAGCTTCATTCGCTGTCTGAAATAGATGTTCTTTTTTCCAGTATTTCCAAAATTTAATACATTAGAATAAACCTTTAAATAATGTCTGCAAAATCTTTTTTGATGTGAATAGTACATGTTGCTAATACTTGTCTTTTTTGTTTAAAAAGAGATTATCTAAAGCGCTGAAATGCTTAACTCCCTGTAGCATATATGAGAGTATTAACCAGTATTAGGTTTTCATCCCTGACGGCCATGGGTGAGGTTTGGCAGATAACACCACAGGGTAAAATGTTTCAGGTACTAGGAATGGGTAGAGTAGAGAGACCTGGAAGTGTTAGGTGTTCTGTGGCCTTGTCACCTCTCACCTACAGTGTGGCAAGGGCCTCCTCATTGGGTTTCCTGCCTCAACCTGTCCCATTCCACTGCGTCCTCAGCATTACTGTCAAATTCATTTTCTTAAGTGCAGCTGCAGTCAGGCCACTCCCCTACTCAAAAACTACCATTGACTCCCATTACCTATATAATTAAGCACACATTCCTCACTCTGACAATTAAGGCCCTTCATCATCTGGATTACATTTTAGCCATGTTGGTCATCATCTTGGGCTGTATTCCCACTTGGTCTGTTGGTTCCTTCATTTGGAGTACTTTCCTCCCATTGCCTTTCTGAGTATTGAAATCCTTCTACTCATCTTTCAAAGCTCATCTTGTTATCAGTGAAGGAACTGCTTCTCTTATTGCCTTTAGAATAAAAACTAAGATCCCCCAAGATCCCTAGCATGGCATACAAGGGCATTCACAGTTGAATGGCCCTTCCAGCCTCACTTACTGCTCTCCACCTCTCTGTAGCCAGACCTGTGCACTTACTGTTCATGCTCATGTGGCCTGTCCCTGCGGCTTAGAATCACACTCACTTCCCTGCGGCACCTCCTTTCCTGGCCTGGTGAATGAATTGCACTTAAATTGGATACAGGTCTTGTCTTTACTTTCAGGGGTATCATGTTTCTATTTACTTTGCAGATTTACTTTGAGCCATACATAATCTACATCCTGGTGGTTATATATATGCCCATGCTTACAGATTGTTTGATGTTTAAGAAAAACTTAAAAAAAATTTTAGTAGACACTAAAAAGTGCTGTATATTGAAGTTGTTTTGTTCATTCTTTGTTCTGGGACATAGACTGGGAACCACTTGGTCTAATTCTGCTGTGCATTTTAAAAATATTTAGACTCCCAAGAGAATGTCTCAAGTTTTGGGTACAGCCAATGATTACATAGTGTTTTCATCATGCAGTAATCTATCCAGGAATGTTTGAAAAGTGGGAAAACAGGAAAGGGACATTTGTTGTGATTTACAGAGAAGTATTTTTATTTTTGATTCTCTCTTAACAGATCCGTAGACTTTCAGAGCTGGTGTTTTGCAGTTTGAATGTTGAATATAATTGTTTTGTATTGAGAATAATGACACAACTCTTGGTTTAGAGTTAATCTGAAGCCTAGCTAACATGGTGTGAAACCCTATCTCTACTAAAAATACACAAATTAGCTGGGCGAGGTGGTGGATCCCTGTAATCCCAGCTACTCAGGTGACTGAGGCATGAGAATTGTTTGAACCCGGGAGGTGGAGGTTGCAATGAGCTGAGATTTTGCTACTGCACTCCAGCCTGGATGACAGTGAGATCCTGTCTCACACACACAAAAGTTAATCTGAGATGCTTTGGAGAGTTGGATTTATGGCTAAAGATATTTGAAATTTGTAGACCTCACATTTTCTTTAACCTGATGCTTATAATATGCTTTTCTCTCTACAAAATGTTCATTATGGAAAATTTGGGAAGTATAGAAAACACCATTCAAAATAAAAATAACTGATAGATCATCCTACCCAGAGGTAACAACTAATATTTTGGTATGTATCTCTTTCTTCCTTTCCTTATTTTCTTTTCCAGAGATAATATATATGTTAACATATGTTAACATATTTCTTTTTTTTTTTTTTTTAATTTGAGACAGGGTCTCACTCTCACCCAGGCTGGAGTGCAGTGGTGCAATCTTGGCTCACTGCAGCCTTGACCTCCCGGGCTCAAGCGGTCCTTCTGCCTCATCCTCCTGAGTAGCTGAGACTACAGGCATCCGCCATCGTGCCCAGCTAATTTTTTGTAGAGACGGTGTTTCAACATGTTGCCCCGGCTGGAACACATGTGTTTCTATTTGCACTTTTTTTTTTAAATTTGAGACAGGGTCTCACTTTCACCCAGGCTGGAGTGCAGTGGCGTGATCTCAGCTCATTGCAACCTCTGCCTCCCAGGTTCAAGCGATTCTCCTGCCTCAGCCTCCTGAGTAGCTGGGATTACAGGCATGAGCCACCACGCCAGGCTAATTTTTGTATTTTTAGTAGAGATGGGGTTTCACCATGTTGGCCAGGCTGGTCTTGAACTCCTGATCTCGTGATCCACCCACCTCAGCCTCCCAAAGTGCTGGGATTGCAGGCTTGAGCCACCATGCCTGGCTCTATTTGCACTTTTAAAACATAATCTAGATTATAACTACATAGTGTTTTGTGCAAATTTTTTCCCCAACTTAAATCTACTCTAAGGTTTTGGCACATCATTAAATGTTTTTCCCTGAAATGATATTTAGTGGCTGACAGAATTTCAGCGTGTCAATGTACCATAATTCTTTTAACCAATTCCCTACTAATTGATTTGTGACTTTTTTTGTTTTTTTGAGACAGTCTTGCTGTCTCACCCTTGCTGGAGTGCTATGGCGTGATCTTGGCTCACTGCAGCCTCCACCTCTTGGGTTCAAGCGATTCTCGTGCCTCAGCCTCCCGAGTAGCTGGGACTACAGGTGCACACCACCACGCCCAGCTATTTTTGTATTTTTAGTACAGACAAGTCTTCACTATGTTGGCTAGGCTGGTCTCGAACTCCTGGCCTCAAGTGATTTGCCCACCTCGGCCTCCCAAAGTGCTGGGATTACAGGTGTGAGCCACCGTTTCCAGCTTCTGCCTGGTTTTTAATTCATAATGGTGACTGAGTGATGACATAGGGAGTTCAATGCCCCTGAAAAAAGTTTTGTGTTACTCACAGTTCTCCTGGAAGCAGAGGTACAGCACACCTTGCATGGCCACAGCAGGGAAGCACCAGAGGTGGTCAGGAGGCAGGAGCAGGAGCGAGAGAAAAGCATGGGCCATAGCTATTATTGTGGTTTCTTTGGGAAAAGCAAAGTGGAGCAGAGCAGAGGGTTTAGGACTGGCTGGTAATTAATTCCAGCAGCCTTTGGGGTATAGGGTCTGTTCTTAGCTGTCTGGAACTGGCCCTGGGTTCATTTAGGGCAGGGGAAATACTGGCTCGGTGTGTGACTTAGGTAAGGGAGGTGGTTGGGATATGGGTTTGGGATTGAATGGTTTGTGTGTGAAAGGCATGTTTACAGTTAGGTGAGTTGTTTATTATCTCTAGAAATTAGCTAGTCCTGGGAAGCAGTTTCTTCACAGCCAGCAAGGCCTCCAGTAAATCAAAACATTATGAAATACAGAAAATGAAAAGCGTGATTAACACACTGATAGTCAAGTTGGTTCCATTTTTTACTACTATACAATTTTTCGTTATAAGTAATGTCATAATGTTATATATAATTTTTCCTTGTACAAAAATCATTATGGATGCATCTGATTTTATTTTATTTTATTTTTTAGTGTGAGTTCTTAGGAAAAGAACTGCCTGGCCGGGCATGGTGGCTCACAAGTGTAATCGCAGCACTTTTGGAGGCTGAGACAGGCGGATCATTCGAGGCCAGGAGTTTGAGACCAGCCTGGCCAACATGGCGGAACTCATCCCTACTAAAAATACAAAAATTAGTCGTGCATGGTGTCTGGCGCCTGTCGTCCCAGCTACTCACTGTGGCTGAGGCATGAGAATCCCTCGAGCTCAGGAGACGGAGGCTGCAATGGGCTGAGAATGCGCCACTGCACTCCAGCCTGAGTGACAGAGCGAGACTGTCTCCAGGAAAAAAAAAAAAAGAACTGCTGAATTCAAGGATGTAAACATTTTTAAGATATTATTGCCAATGTAGTAGTCTGATGTGGGGTCTTTTGTTTTGTGTTTTTTGAGACAGGGTCTCGTTCTTGCCACCCAGGCTGGCTAGAGTACAGTGGCACCATCACAGCTCACTACAGCCCCGATCTCCTGGGCTCAAGCAATCCTCCTGCCTCAGCCTCCTGAGTAGCTGAGACTACAGGCGTGTGGTACCATGCCTGGCTAATTTTTAAATTTTTTTGTAGAAAGGAGTTCTCTCTATGTTGCCCAGGCTGGTCTTGTACTCCTGGGCTCAACCTATCCTCCCACCTCAGCCTCCCAAAGTGTTGGATTTACAGGCGTGAGCTACTGCGCCAGGCCTGTAGTCTGATGTTTTCTTTTTTTTTTTTTGAGACGGAGTCTCGCTCTGTTGCCCAGGCTGGAGTGCAGTGGTGTGATCTCGGCTCACTGCAAGCTCCGCCTCCCGGGTTCACGCCATTCTCCTTCCTCAGCCTCCCAAGTAGCTGGGACTACAGGCACCTGCCACCACGCCTGGCTAATTTTTTGTAATTTTTAATAGAGACGGGGTTTCACCATGCTAGCCAGAATGGTCTTGATCTCCTGACCTTGTGATCTGCCCGCCTCGGCCTCCCAAAGTGCTGGGATTACGGGTGTGAGCCACTGCGCCCAGCCAGTCTGATGTTTTTCAAATGGCCCTCACAACTGTTCTATCCCTAGCCCCTTCCCTCTTCAGTATCACAGCAGCACTGTATATGATACATAGCAGTGGGTGTTAGGGTTATTTGTAAACTAACAGAATGGCTTATCCCAGTTTTTATTAGGATACTTACTTGGGATCTTTGCCATAGTAAGCTTAATATATACGAGATTTGTGTTCTTAGCCATTGCAGTTTCAGATGAGTAACAATCTTTAAAAGGAAAGAAATGGAGGCATTAACTCAAAATTTGTCACCTTTTTATTACACCAAGAATATTTTTAAAACATTAAAAAAAATAGGTTACATGAGCTTGCCAGTAACAACAACTGTATTCCACAGTCTCCTCTGGTTCATTTAAAACAGGGCGTTTAACAACAAAACGTAGAAAGGATATTATCTTAAAACATTGTCATTTAAATGGAATAAATTTAGTTGGAAGGAAAACTTGTTACATTTTTCTTTAAATCATTTTTCTTATTTCCCACTAACTATGCAACTGCTTCATGTAATGGCACTGGTTTGCTTTTTGCCTTCAGGAATGTGCTGTACCACGTTGTTTAAAAATTGAGATAAAATTCATGTAACATAAAATTTAAAGTGTACAATTCAGTGGCATTGCATATATACACAAATGTTTTTAGTTTGAAAACATTTTTATCACTCCCAAAGGAGACCTCATAACCCATTAGAGTCACTCGCCATTTTCCCTTTGCCCTAGCCTCTAGTAACCACTAACTTGCTTTATGGCTCTATGGATTTACTTGTTCTGGACATTTTAAATAGATGGAATTACATAATATGTGACTTTTTGCATCTGCTTTCGCATAGTATACAACATTGAACATGTTGATTACACCTTGCTGGAAAATACCACATTCTTGGGCCGGGTGCGGTGGCTCACGCCTGTAATCCCAGCACTTTGGGAGGCTGAGGTCGGGGGATCACGAGGTCAGGAGAGCGAGACCATCCTGGCCAACATGGTGAAACCCCATCTCTACTAAAAATAGAAAACATTAGCCGGGCGAGGTGGCGGGCACCTGTAGTCCCAGCTACTTGGGAGGCTGAGGCAGGAGAATGGCGTGAGCCCGGGAGGCGGAGCTTGCAGTGAGCGGAGATCGCGCCACTGCACTCCAGCCTGGGCGACAGAGCGAGACTCCGTCTCAGAAAAAAAGAAAATACTACGTTCTCGTCATTTCCTTTCCACTACTCTGGCTTCTCCTTTGCTCATCCCCAAGATGTTAATCTTTCTCAGGGTTCTGCCCTTGGCCCTCTTTGCCTACACACTCATCCTACGTGTTCTGATTTGCTGCTGTGACTTTAATTATCATTATACGATAGTTACTCTCAAGTCTCTATCGAAAGACTTCTGTGTCCCTCTGTCAAGGGAATATCTCTGCTTGGATTCATGATAGGCACCTCGCGCTTGACACACGCCACACTGAATTGCAGGTGACGTTCCTCAACTGTTCGTATTTGGGAGCTCTTTGAGCTACCAGAGCATTCAGCACATAGCTCCAGCCCATCCTTTTATCACAGTATTATAACAGTCTGCTTACTTATCTTTTTTTTTTTTGAAGCCGTATGTATCTCGAGGTCAGGGATTATATCTTGCTCACAGTTGTATCCTGAGGGCCTGGTTTTGTGTCCAGCATGTAGAAATGACACTTAGTGTTTGTTCAATGAGTCTGTGAAGGTAGCACATTAATGATTATCATGTGTAATGAGTGGCGGAATACATTTATTATAGTTTTTGTCTTTAAAAACGCAGAGAATTGTCTAACTTGGCCATATGTATTTTCACATTTCAGGAGCATTTAGACAGCACCCGTGGCTCAGTTCATTCCTTAGATGCAGGCTTGCTGTTGCCATCTGGAGATCCTTTCAGTAAATCGGACAATGACATGTTTAAAGATGGACTCAGGAGAGCACAGTCTACAGACAGCTTGGGAACCTCGGGCTCATTGCAATCCAAAGCTTTAGGCTATAACTACAAAGCAAAATCTGCTGGAAACCTGGACGAGTCAGATTTTGGACCACTGGTAGGAGCAGATTCAGTGTCTGAGAACTTTGATACTGCATCCCTTGGGTCACTCCAGATGCCAAGTGGGTTTATGTTAACCAAAGATCAGGAAAGAGCAATCAAGGCGATGACACCAGAACAAGAAGAGACAGCGTCCCTCCTCTCCAGCGTTACCCAGGGCATGGAGAGTGCCTATGTGTCCCCTAGTGGTTATCGTTTAGTTAGTGAAACAGAATGGAATCTCTTGCAGAAAGAGGTGAGTTACCTTTCTCACGTTTTTCCTCTTGCTCACGCTGAGGCACACTGGGAAGCTCTGGGATTTAGCGTTCATTCAACAGACGGTTCCTGGAGTCAGTGCAGGCACATGTTGCCAGCAAGTGGATATTAACGTGTGTCACCTGACCCTTGTCATAGTCTGCCTTGGGTATTCCAGGTAATTGTGACAGAGAAAGGAGCTAGCTAGTTAATCACAGTGAATGTGAACCTCCCCACCTGAACTCACAGCTCTCAGGTTGGAGCAATCTGCCTGACTAGCATTGCGGAATTTAAGTTAGAGCAACCTGGATTTGGTTTGCTTTGCAGTTTTCTATAATCTCAGTGTATTGCAGGATCCAGGCTTTCATCTTTCCTTTAGATCAAAAGCGCAATTGCCGGTCTGCTGTTGATGCTGAGAGTGGGTTTAAAGAGGGGTTGGGAATATGGGAGAGAAAAGAAACCAATCTTTAATGAAGTTGATTTTCCTCCTTAGAGAATTTGTAAATTCACAGGTAAGATTAGGAGATAAACACTTCGATATTTGCCTAATGCTTTATAGATTACAAAGGCCTTTCACATACCTGATCTCTTTAAGCTTTATCATTATAATGAGGCAAGTGGGGCATGGTTATCTCCCATTTACAGGTGAGAAAACTGGCTGGGAAAGATAAAGTGAGTTGCTCAAGTGTTCCCTTTGACTTAGTCGCAAAACCTGACTCCTGGTGCTTTCCTTGACTGAGGGCTGCTTCCCTTTAAGGAAGCCACCGGTCAGTAAGTGGAACAGCTTACTGAGGCCTGAAAGAAACTATTCTCATTGGTCTTATGTAACACATACGTGAGAAGGTGCTATTTACTAGTTTGGTACCTATTTTATAATTGGAGCTGGTGAAACGGTGACTTGGCACTGTTTTTATTTGTCTTTCCTTCCCTTTGGTTGTTTAGTATTATACCATGAGTGCCATGGGATAGTACCTTTTGCTTGCTTTGTGTTTTCCTCACATGTGATGTTTTGTGCCTCTTGGCGATAAATTGTGTCCCATGTGTCCTATCATACTTGTACTGGAGAGTTTGATTTTTTAGAATCTGACCCTATATTGTAACTTTTTGCCGTAAGGCCCTGAAGAAAGTGTTTACTGCATGTTCTACTGACTACCATTGGTAAGACTATGCACGTGTACCTCAAGTGTGTGATGTAGAATTGTTTTGCCTGATAAGAGGTAATTTTGGTGCCCTTCAGGTACATAATGCTGGAAATAAACTTGGTAGACGTTGTGATATGTGTTCCAATTACGAAAAACAGTTACAAGGAATTCAGATTCAGGAGGCTGAAACGAGAGACCAGGTGAGTTTCTTCTGGATGCGCCAAATTGGATATTGTCGTTTTCATTGGAGGTGCAGAATTAATTGCCCCCCTCTCCGGCCCCAGCCCCATTTACATTATGAAGCATATCCATCTTGTTAAGTTATGAAATAACCTGGTACATGCAATGGCAGTTACATTTCCAGTGGGAGCTCACTAGGACTCTGCTTTTTTTTTTTTTGTTTTTGTTTTTGTTTGTTTTTTTTGAGAGGGGGTCTCGCTCTATTGCCAGGCTGGAGTGCAGGGGGGATCTCAGCTCACTGCAACTTCCGACCCCCTGGTTCAAGTGATTCTTCTCCCTCAGCCTGCCGAGTAGCTGGGATTACAGGGACACGCCACCACCCCCAGCTATTTTTTGTATTTTTAGTAGAGATGGGGTTTCACCATGTTGCCTAGGATGGTCTCAAACTCCTGACTTCATGATCCACCTGCCTCAGCCTCCCAAAGTGTTGGGATTACAGGTGTGAGCCACCGCGCTCGGCCAGGACTCTGTTTTTGTATATCTGCACAGGTCTGCCCAACTCTTAAAGGGACACTACCTAATCTCTTCCACCCTGCCCCTTCCGCCTAAGGCCTAAAAGTGATTTTAAGTACATGGCAAGTACTTTATGATATGGAGATCTCAGGGAGATAAAAGGTTGATTGTTGCCTCCAGTAGAATAAAGGCTTAATGGAATGTTATATTAATCAGAATTTGTGTCCTTCAGTGCATATTACTCATTTCTTGTCATAAATTTGTTGAATTAAGGTTAATAAGTTCCCAGAAATTAAGCTTTGGTAGATTTGGTATGCTGAGATTGATAAATCTTCAGTACTTTTTCAAGTGCAGTGTTTAATAATGGGCACCTTGATAGCAGTTAGGAAATAATGTAGAAATTCATGAGAGTGGGCTTGTCAAAGTCTACGTAAGAAAGATACTTTTCCCTCATATTTCCAAATTGTTCTTTGGTTGTTATGAAGATTGTTCCCTTAGCCTTCAAAATAACTTCAAGCCAATTAGAATGATGGTTTAATATTTTCAAATGTCATTGCTATTGAGTTCCTTCATACACTGTGTGCTTTACGCATAGATGTTTCAAAGGTAAATTTCTAAATGTATTTGCAAAACTAATGTAGTTGGCCCCTGATAGTGTGGTGTAGGAATGGTTTTCATAAACATTTCAGTAGACTGTTTTAAAGCCTGGCTAAAAATTAGTCAGAAAAAGAAGTGGGAAAAGGGTGTTCATGGAGAGAAAAAATATACAAAGAACAGAGTTAGGAAAGAAAATGATGTATTGTAGGAAGTATGAGTAGTTATGTGGCTGGGCACAGGGGGTGACTGTTACGAAATAATGGGAATGTAAGCTACAAGGGAAAGCCATGAAGACATCACTTAGGGAGGGGTGATGATTGAAGAGATTTAAATTTTACCCTGAAGCCGGGCATGGTGGCTCACGCCTATAATCCCAGCACTTTGGGAGGCCGAGGCGGGCCGATCACCTGAGGTTAGGAGTTCATAGACCAGCCTGACTAACATGGAGAAACCCCACCTCTACTAAAAATGCAAAATTAGCCAGGTGTGGTGGTGCATGCCTGTAATCCCAGCTACTCGGGAGGCTGAGGCAGGAGAATCCCTTGAACCCCAGGAGGTGGAGGTTGCAGTGAGCCGAGATTGCAGAGCGAGAGACTCTTGTCTCAAAAAAAAAAAAAAAAAAATTTACCCTGAAGACTTTGAGAGGCATTTAGAGTTTTAAGTAGGGAAATTATATTATTTCACTTTTATAAAATTTCTGGTGTTAGTGTGGATTGTAGACTGGAGACAGAGGATACACTCTAGTTAGGGAGAACAGTGTCATGGTCTAGAGGATCTGAGGGAGAAGCAGATGTTTTCAGATGAGATGTGTGTGAAAAATGATTTGTTAACTGTAAACCACAGTACAGTTGTCTCTTGAGGTCATTTATCTAATTTCTGTCTGAATTAGAAAATCTGTGGTGTTTCCCAGAAAAAGACATAAGAGATTTTTTTTTAAAATTCTGGAGTTAGATTTAAAAAAAAAAAAATTATAAAAGGATTCTGGTTTTTCTAATTGACTTTTAAAATGATACAGGTGAAAAAACTACAGCTGATGCTAAGGCAAGCTAATGACCAGTTAGAGAAGACAATGAAAGATAAGCAGGAGCTGGAAGACTTCATAAAGCAAAGCAGCGAAGATTCGAGTCACCAGGTAAGGGAGGGTTTATAGACTGTGGCCCATGAGGGATGACTGGGTTATTTAAATGAAAGATTCAAAAAATATAGTCATGTTTTTTTTTGCCTTGAAGATTTGGCAGTTTTATTTTCCCTCAGGTAAAAAGATTTCTTACTGATCATTCTGTGATCTCTGTTTTACAGATTTTTAAAGAATAACTTTCAAAATAATTGGTCAGTAAATGCCAGGAGGTTCTGATTCTCCTTTCCTTTATTTGTATTAGTTAGGTTTTCCTGCTGCACTGGAAACTTGCTGACAAAGATACTAATTATTTTCTTTTAAACTTTTTAAAAGTATAGCAACATGAAAGAAAAAAAAAACATATACAGATACACCAAACATACCAGAACCAACATCTGTGTAACCACCATTGAGATCAAGCAATAGAATATTAGCTGGTACCCCAGAAGCCCTCACTTTCCCCGCACTTACAACTCCCTCCCGACAGGCAGCCACTGTCCTAACTTGTAACACCATTAGATTAGCCTGTGCTTTAACTTTAGAAAATGAAGCCATACGTTCTGTGTTCTTTTGCGTCTGTGTTCCTCCGTTCAACAGTGTACTATTCCTACTCGTGATGCACGGAGTGTTTGTTCATTTTCATTGTTGAATAGTCATATCATTATACGGATATACCGCAATTTATCCAGACTAATGTTGATGGATATTTCAGTTGTTTCCAGTTCTGGGATATTATGAATAATGTTCCTTTGAAATTTTTGTATAGGGCGTGGTGGACATGTTTCTGCAGGATATGTAACTAGGGGTGGAATGCTTGGGTACAAATGTTCAAAATGCCAAATAATTTTCCAGAGTGGTTATACCAGTTTATACCTCCACCAGCAATGTATGAGAGTTCCTGTGGTTCCAAGGTGTGGAAAAATGTCATTTTGTTATTTTAATTATAGCCATTTCGGTGGATGTATAATGGTATTTCACTGTGGCTTAGTTTGCATTTCTCTAATGACCACTGAAGTTACTTAGCATTTTTCATGTTTCTTGGCCATTGGGATTTTCTGTGTGTGAGAGATTCCTGCTCAAGTCTTATCCTCATCTTTTTATTGGGTGGTCTGTTTATTTTACTTTTTTTGGTCTTTAAAAACTGATTTGTTAGGTGTCCTTTATATAATGTTAGAATCTTTTGGTGATAGGTGTTGCAGGTGTCTTTTACTCAGTAGCTTATATTTTTTGTTTTGTTTTTGAGATGGAATCTTGCTCTGTCACCCAGTCTGGAGTGCAGTGGTGCAACTTCGGCTCTCTGCAACCTCTGTTTCCCGGGTTCAAGCAGTTTTCCTGCCTCAGCCTCCTGAGTAGCTGGGATTACAGGCACTTACCACCACACCTGGCTAATTTTTGTAGTTTTAGTAGAGATGGGGTTTCACGTTGTTGGCCAGGCTGGTCCTGAACTCCTGACCTCAGGTGATCCACTTGCCTCGGCCTCCCAAAGTGCTAGGTGTGAGCCATGCACCTGGCCCATCAGTAGCTTATGTCTTCATTAATGGTGTCTTTTAATGAACAGAAGTCCTTAATAATGTAGTCAAATTTGGCCGGGCACGGTGGCTCACACCTGTAATCCCAGCACTTTGGGAGGCCGAGGCGGGCAGATTACCTGAGGTCAGGAGTTTGAGACCAGCCTGACCAACATGGAGAAACCCTGTCTCTACTAAAAATACAAAATTAGCCGAGTGTTTCGGCGCATTCCTGTAATCCCAGCCACTTGGGAGGCTGAGGCAGGAGAATCGCTTGAACCCGGGAGGCGGAGGTTGCAGTGAGCCAAGGTCATGCCATTGCACTCCCGCCTGGGCAACAAGAGTGAAACTCCGTCTGAAAGAAAAAAAAAAATCAAATTTATTAATTATTTCTTTATGGTTTGTGATTTTCCTCCTTTTTAAAAAGGAATCTTTTCCTATGGAGTTATGAAGATATCCTATATTATAGAGGTTTTATTCACATTTATATCTAAAATTCCTCTAGAACTTAGATACACACACACACACACACACACACACAGTGTAGATAAGGGTAAAACTTTTTTGTCTCGCTGTGTCGCCCAGGCTAGAGTGCAGTGGCACGATCTTGGCTCACTGCAACGTCTGCCTCCCAGGTTCAAGCGATTCTCCTGCCTCAGCCTCCTGAGTAGCTGGGACTACAGGCACCCGCCACCACGCCCGGCTAATTTTTTATTTTTAGTAGAGACGGGGTTTCACCATCTTGGCCAGGCTGGTCTCGAACTCCTGACTTTGTGATCCATCCGCCTCGGCCTCCCAAAGTGCTAGGATTACAGGCGTGAGTCACCGTGCCCAGCCAAGGGTAAAACTTTTTTTTAAAAAAAGTATGGATAGCCAATTTCTGTATGACTTGGTGAAAAGATCCACCTTTCCCCCATTGCTCTGTGTAGATTAGTTTCAGAACTATCTTCTGTTCAGTTGGTCTGTTTGCCTTTTTTTTGTGCTAAATTCTGCACTGTGATTTATGTGAAATAAAATTTTCTCTCTTTTTTTTTTAAACCCGAGATGGAGTTTTGCTCTTGTTGCCCAGGCTAGAGTACAGGGTGCGTTCTGGGCTCACTGCAACCTCTGCCTCCCGGTTTTCAAGCAATTCTCCTGCCTCAGCCTCCCGAGTAGCTGGAATACAGGTGCCCGCCACCACACCCAGCTAATTTTTTTTTACTTTTAGTAGAGATGGGGTTTTACCATGCAGGCCAGGCTGGTCTCGAACTCCTGACCTCAGGTGATCTGCCCGCCTCAGCCTCCCAAAGTGCTGGGATTACAGGCATAAGCCACTGCACCCAGCCTGATTTTTTTTTTAAACATCTTTAAACATAGCTACAACTAGGTCACGTGAGTTACTGTCTGCCTAGAAACCCATAGAATGCTCTTTGTTAATGTATGGCTGCATGTGACTCGGGTTTTGGCACTGCCTTGTGTTATCTGAAAGGCCAAGGCTTTGCACATAGCAGATGTGCATGCAGCTGTTGGATGATGGTCAGTGGTTCCCATGAACAAATAAAATGTCAATTCCAGACACTAAATAGTTAGAAGATGGAAGAGTTAGTTTCAGAATAACCGATTTCCTAACTATGTTTCTATACATGTGTTTTTTTAAAGATCTCTGCACTCGTCCTAAGAGCCCAGGCCTCCGAGATCTTACTTGAAGAGTTACAGCAGGGGCTTTCCCAGGCAAAGAGGGATGTTCAGGAACAGATGGTAAGTTTACATTTTAAGTAAATGACAACTATGTTACTATATATTCCTTTTTTGTTCTATCTTGACATCATCTTTGATAGGAATTTATCATCCTGTCCAAAGTAGTTACTGTTGTCTTCTCCCGGGACTGTAGAACATTAATAATGGACAAAATATTGTAAAGACATTATTCCTTTTTTAAACCTACTTTCTGGCCAAACAAAAATTTTTTCTCATCGTTTAACTTATTTTTCTGATTTGGGAAACCTAAACAGAATAAACTATGGACCTAATTTAATTTTTAATTCCAAATAAAAGCTAAAAAATTGAATGTCTGAGAGCCCTAGCTGGTACAGCTTTTGACCAGTCATTTTGTGATTTTCCTGGATGGCTAATTTATTTAGAATAACCTTATTAGGGCTGGGCTGAGGCGGGTGGATCACGAGGTCAGGAGATTGAGACCATCCTGTCTAACATGGTGAAACCCCATCTGTACTAAAAATACAAAAAACTAGCCGGGCGTGGTGGTGTGCACCTGCAAATCCCAGCTACTCGGGAGGCTGAGGCAGGAGAAGCGCTTGAACCTGGGAGGCTGAAGTTGCAGTGAGCTGAGATCGCGCCACTGCACTCCAGCCTGGGTGACACAGCAAGACTCTCTTTCAAAAGAAAAAAAAAATAACCTTATTAGTTTCACAGGGGTTATGAAAAAAAACATGTAACTGTTGTGGTGCTGGGGACCTTCCAGAAGGCCATCTATGCTGAGAGGGATGGGGGCAGAGTGTTATGAGCAAGTGCCGGCTAGAGCCTTTGCAGATAGTCCCCAGGCTTGGGCTCCCTCCTCACTAGTCTGGCTGCATTTGCTTTGTTTTTCCTTTCTCAAAGTTGGAGCCTACATCTGATGCCTCCAACTAAATTAAAGTAGAGGTGGCTCTGCTGGGGTGATTCTACAAGGCTGATGCTTACCCGGGGATGACAGTTTAAAAATAAAAGCCTTGGGTGGAATGGTCATTGAATGTTTTTAATTGGCATTATTAGGTCAGTATCTGAATGGCCTATGAGCTGATCCCTAAATCTTAAACCTGGTCTGTTGGGAAGCATCTCATCCTAATCATTGACCCATAGTTTCATGTGTTTTCTCTAATTAGAAAATACAATATAACACTGGCGTAAAAATCACTGCTAAATACTGACAGTTTCATAGCGGTGAGCCTCCTACACTCCTTCGACCCCTTGCATCTTTTTCCTTCTTGTCTTTTTTTTTTTCTTTTTTGAGACAGAGTTCTGCTTTTGTTGCCTAGGCTGGAGTGTAATGGCGCAATCTCGGCTCACTGCAACCTCCTCCTCCTGGGTTCAAGTGATTCTCCTGCCTCAGCCTCCTGAGTAGCTGGGATTACAGGCATGCACCACCACACCCGGCTAATTTTGTATTTTTAGTAGAGACGGGGTTTCTCCATGTTGGTCGGGCTGGTCTCGAACTCCTACCTCAGGTGATCCACCCGCGTTGGCCTCCCAAAGTGCTGGGATTACAGGCATGAGCCACTGTGCCCGGCCTCCTTCTTGTCTCTTAAAACCATCAGCCCTTGCAGACACTTTTCAAGCTGGTTTCACTTAAAATGAATGTGTGTCAGTGACACTGGAGAACTGTTGAAATTAAGGTTGAGGTCCTATGAACTCCAGTACATGACCATTTTGTTGAAATTACCATAAAGAAGAGAAACTCACCACGTTAGTGCATGCTTGCCCTTGTTCTTAGTCTTTCTGTGTATGTTTGTAGGTATATGATGTGTGTGTGTACGTATGTCTTGGTTTGTGTTTTTTGCTGGACTGTTTGGAGTTATTGTAGACATGACAGTCGTAAGTATTTTAGTATGTATTTCCTAAAACAAAGAGTTGTTCTGCATCGCTACAGTACTGTTATTACATCCTTAAAATTTAACCAGTTGTCCCAGTAAGTCCTTGATTACTTTTTAGTGGTGGTTTTCCTTTTTATATTTTCTATATTTTGATCCAGGAACCAATCAGTGATCACATATTTCATCTTGTTGCCATGTCGCTTTAGTCACTTTTCATCTAGAACAGTCTCCCACTCTCTTTTTATTTTTAAGAATCCGGCCAATTGCTTTGTTTCAGGCCATCTGTCTTGTAGAATTCATTTGTCTGATTATCTCCTTGTGATTTGATTCAGGTTAGACATCTTGGCAAGAATACTGCACAGATGAAATGGTTCAATGGGAGGTTCATAACATAATGAGGCACGTTAATGATGGGTGCTTCCATTACTGGGGATGTTAAATTTGATCACTCGGTTAAGGTGGGGACAAAATAGTTTCAGAATGACTATATCAATATTACTACCAACAGCAAATCTACTAAGTAAAGGCCAACATTTCTTTGTAGTTCTGCCCTTAGACTGTATCTCAGATAAGGGTTTACAGTTTAAGTACTGTGTTCAAATGTTAGTTTTTCTCTCTGTGGTTGTATTAGGAATTTGATATATAGTTAGCTCCATTTGTTTCTCTTTTTTTTTTTTTGTTTTTGAGACGGAGTCTTGCTCTGTCGCCCAGGTTGGAGTGCAGTGGCGCGATCTCGGCTCACTGCAAGCTCCGCCTCCCGGGCTCACGCCATTCTCCTGCCTCAGCCTCTGGAGTAGCTGGGACTACATGCGCCCGCCACCACGCCTGGAGAATTTTTTGTTTTTTCAGTGGAGACGGGGTTTCACCGTGTTAGCCAGGATGGTCTCGATCTCCTGACCTCGTGATCCACCCGCCTCGGCCTCCCAAAGTGCTGGGATTACAGGCGTGAGCCACTGCGCCTGGGCTGTTTCTCTTTATATTACATTTTCAGATTTGATTTTTCTTTCTTGATTTATATTTTGAATATGTAACATGGTTCATAATCAAAAGTATAAAAATAAATACTCAGCTCCATTTCCATTCCCTGTCCTTTTCACCCCATTTCCACTCACTCTTATACGTAATTATTTTAATTTATTTTTGGCTTATCCTTCTGTTTTTCTCTTTACAAAAACAAGCAAATATATACATATTCTTTTTTCCCTTCTTTCATATCCAGAAGGTGGTGGGATACTAAGATTTTGTTGTAAATGGGTGACAGTGATCATAAAGCACAGTGGATTCTAGTCTGAAGACAATAAGAGCCAGTGGGCTTTAGCCAGAGCATATGCATGGCCGTGACTGCCTGTCTTAGGCCTGTTTGTCCTTCAGAATGCAGCTCAGTCATCGCCTCCTCTGGGAAGTGTTCTTTAACCCTCTTCCCAATTTCCTGCCCCAAATTAGGTACCCCTTTGTCCTTTTATCACTGCAGTACCCAATCTCTGTCATAGCAGTTTATGGTATTGTAGAGTAGTTTTTGGTTTACTTGTCTTTCTCCTCTATTGGACCATGAGCTTCTCCAGGGCAAAGTCTTTGTCTTTTATCTCTGTATTTCCTGTGGGCAGCAAAACACGTGGCATAGAGTAGTAGCTGCACAATAAACATCGTATGAGAGCATCATCTACATGTATGTGTGCCCTTAAGGTAAGTGACTTTAGTACTACAGATTAGCAGGAGTCACGTGCTTTTGTAGAGCTTTATCTGATACTCGGATTTGGTGGATAACTTTTATATTGATACAAATAATATGAAATACCTAAAATTGTTTTACACATCAACAAGCAGAAGTGGGAGTGTGTCCCATTTTAAGAATAAGCTTCTCTGGCTGGGTGCGGTGGCTCACGCCTGTAATCCCAGTACTTTGGGAGGCTGAGGTGGGCGGATCACGAGGTCAGGAGATTGAGACCAGCCTGGCCAACATAGTGAAACCCTGCCTCTACTAAAAATACAAAAAAATGAGCTGGGCGTGGTGGTGCGTGCCTGTAGTCCCAGCTACTTGGGAGGCTGAGGCAGGAGAATCACTTGAACCGGGACTCGGGAGGTGGAGGTTGCAGTGAGCCGAGATCACACCACTGCATTCCAGCCTGGGCTACAGAGCGAGACTGTCTCAAAAGAAAAAAAAGAATAAGCTTCTCAAGTGCTCTGTGATTCCTGAGCTTAGATGCTCTTGATGACTTCCAGTATCTGGGCCTGCTGGGCCATTCACAGTGATTCCGAGCCTAAACAGAGGTATACATAATAGGAAATGAAGACACTACTCTGTTTCTCCCTCCTTTCTGTCCAGTGCACGCCATGGGGAAATGGGAGTTGTCTTAGAGTACATGCTCTGTCTGATATAGGTCTTGATGGTGTCAGCCACTTCCATTGAACTAGAGATCCTGGTCCTTCTGTAGTACAGGGATATGGAGGGAAAATATTAATTTTTTTTTTTTTTTGAGATGGAGTCTTGCTCTGTGGCCCAGGATGGGCGCAACGGTGCAATCTCGGCTCACTGCAACCTCCGCCTCCTGGGTTCAAGCGATTCTCCGGCCTCAGCCTCCCTCCCTAGTTGCTGGGATTACAGGCACCCCGCTGTACCCAGCTAACTTTCTGCATTTTAGTAGAGACAGGGTTTCACTGTTTTGCCCAGGCTGGTCTCAAACTCCTGAGCTCAGGCAATCCACCCACCTCAGCCTCCCAAAGTGTTGGGATTACAGGCGTGAGCCACCACACCCAACCAAAAGATAGAATTTTTAAGCGGTTTGTAGAAACAGTGGAGAATGAGCCTCAGATACTTGCTTCATTGCCTGTCCCTTGTTGAATATATGCTGTAAACCAGAAAATCTCTGTGCAGCTTTTTCTAAGTCTAGCAGAACTTCACCATACCCCGTCCATCCTCAGCACTCCTTTAGTTTGGACTTGTTTTTCTCTGGTGTAGCTATCACCAGACCGGATCTACCTTTCTGGCTGTGATTAGTATCTACTTCTATTTTAGGCGGTGCTGATGCAGTCACGGGAACAGGTTTCAGAAGAGCTGGTGAGGTTACAGAAAGATAATGACAGTCTCCAGGGAAAGCACAGCCTGCATGTGTCATTACAGCAAGCAGAAGACTTCATCCTCCCAGACACTACAGAGGTAACTTACTTTCCACATGATCAAAAATGTCAACAAGTACGTTTTCTGAAATGGCCGTATGTTCTTTATGTAAACAGTTTTATTCAGATATAATTCACGTGCCAATTCAACCATTTAAAATGTACCATTCAGTGGTTTTTGCTGTACTCACAGATGTGTGCAACCATCATCACAATCAATTTTAGAACATTTTCATCACCTCAAGTAGTAACTCCCTGTGACCCGACTACACCAGCTAAACACACACACACACACACACACACACACACACACACACACACACGAAAAAGTAACACTTCGCCCTTTAGCTACCATCCTTATTCCCCCTCCTCCCCTAGCCTTAAGCAACTACTAACCTTTCTGCCTCTATAGATTTCCCTATTCTGGACTTTCCTATGAATAGAATCATACGATATGTGGTCTTTTGTGTCCATGTTCTTTCACGTAGCCTTAATGTTTTGAAGATCTATGTTATTTTTGTCGGCCCAGATTGAGAGTGTGCCAGAAATTAAATGTTTGAAGGGGTTACCATGCTGGCTGCTTATGACGTTTGTTTTTGTATCTAGTACTTGAAAAGTTATAACACACTCACCATCATGCTGTCCATAAAGATGACACTTTTGTTTCTTTTTGAGACAGATAATATCTGTCACCCAGGCTGGAGTGCAATGGCATCATCTCTGCTCACTGCAACCTCCGCCTCACAGGTTTAAACGATTCTCCTGCCTCAGCCTCCCCAGTAGCTGGGATTACAAGCGCCTGCCACCATGCCCAGCTAATTTTTTGCATTTATAGTATAGATGGGGTTTCACCATGTTTGCCAGGCTGGTCTTGAGCTCCTGACCTCACGTGAGCCACCATGCCCAGCCAAAGATGGCACTTTTGGTCACTTACATTCTTCTGTGGTTGGGTAAACCTGGGCTACAAAACTGGTTTCCCAGAGACATTCATAATTCTCTCCTTAACTTTATCCAAGCTTAATTTTTAATTTTTATTTTTTGAGACACAGTTTCATTCTGTCCCCTAGGCTGGAGTGCAGTGGTGTGATCTTGGCTCACTGCAACCTCCGCCTCCTGGGTTCAAGTGATTCTCCTGCCTCAGCCTCCCGAGTAGCTGGGATTACAGGCGTGCGCCAGCACGCTGGGCTAATTTGTTTCTGTATTTTTATTTTTTTTATTATTTTTTATTTTATTTTTATTTTTTGAGATGGAGTCTTGCTCTGTCACCCAGGCTGGAGTGCAGTGGCGCAACCTAGGCTTACTGCAACCTCTGTCTCCCAGGTTCAAGTGATTCTCCTGCCTCAGCTTCCTGAGTACTGGGACAACAGGCGCGTGCCACTGTGCCTGGCAAATTTTTTAAAATATTTTTTAGTAGAGATGGGGTTTCACCACATTGGCTAGGCTGGTCTCCAACTCCTGACCTCGTGATCCGCCCGCCTTGGCCTCCCAAAGTGCGGGGATTACAGGCATCAGCCACCGCACCTGGCCTTTTTTTGTATTTTTAGTAGAGATGCGGTTTCGCCATGTTGGCCAGGCTGGTCTCGAACTCCTGATCTCAGGTGATTAGCCTGCTTCGGCCTCCCAAAGTGCTGGGATTGCAGGCATGAGACACCGTGCCTGTCCTATCCAATCTTTATACCTGTTTCTTTTTTTTTTTTTTTTTCCTTTTTAAGGAAATCTTAGTAAGTAGAAGTTTCCCCTAATTATACCCTACAGATTCAATCTCTATAATTTGGACCTCATTCTTTTTTCCTATATATGTATTAACATGACTGTTATTTTTTATGTTTATTTCATCATTTACAAAAAACCAGTTGCCTATCTTGCCATTAGCTCTTTGCTGTCTCCCACCTTTCCCCAACTTCTTATCGTCTCAGCTCATGTTACAGGCACTCTTGGCAGAGCCTTCTTTCCTTTCTGAATTGGTGACTGCTGTCATCAAAAGAAGGTATCGGGGGCAGGGTATGGTGGCTGAGGCCTGCAATCCTAGCACTTTGGGAGGCCAAGGCAGGCAGATTGCTTGAGGTCAGGAGTTCAACACCAGCCTGGACAACATGGCAAAACCCCGATGCTACTGAAACAAACAAAAAAAATTAGCCAAGGATGGTGGCACACACTTGTAGTAGTCCCAGCTACAACTACTTGGGAGGCTGAGGTGGGAGGGGTCGCCTGAGCCCAGGAGGTCAAAGCTGCAGTGAGCTGAGATCGCGCCACTGCCCTCCAGCCTGGGAGACAGAGTGAGGACCCTGTCTCAATTAAAAAAAAAAAGGTTTTGGGAACCTGTCTACTTTTGCTATCAGCTTAAAATCACTGTTTACCACCTTCCACCTGTTAGATTTTTCTCTTTTGTCAGGAAAGAATCCTGTCTTCCATGTTCTTTAGAGACTTTATTCCTAGATTTTATTTCATTTTATTTATTTATTTATTTATTTATTTTGAGACAGAGTCTTGCTCTGTCACCCAGGCTGGAGTGCAGTGGTGTAATCTCAGCTTATTGCAACCTCCGCCTTCTGGGTTCAAGCAATTCTCCTGCCTCTGCCTCCTGAGTAGCTGGGACTACAGGTGTGTGCCACCATGTCTGGCTACCATGTTGGCCAGGCTGGTCTCGAATTCTCGACCTCAAGGAATCCGCCTTCCTCGGCTTCCCAAAAGTGCTGGGATTACAGGCTTTAGCCACCGCGCCTGCCTAGTCCTAGATCTTAAAATGTTCCAAGAATCCAGGCCGGGCACAGTGGCACTTGCCTGTAATCCCAGCACATTGGGAGGTTGAAGTGGGAGTTTTGCTTGAGCCCAGGAGTTTGAGTCTGTGGTGAGATATGATTATGCCATTGCACTCCATACTCCAGTCTGGGTGACAGAGGAAGATCCTGTCTCAAGAAAAAGAAAAAAAAAGTTCCAAGAATCCTTGAAGAATGTAGTCAGTGTGTAATCCTTGATTCTTGGACCTGCTTCAGCAATAAATCTTAGGAAATTTTAAAAACTGTTGTTTTATATATATTGTTATTTGAGAATCTCGTTTTTACTTTAGAGTTGCTTTAGGATATAATTGGAAGGATTTCTAAAAGAAGACAGAACTAAAATTTAGGAAGAAAAATAAATTCTATACTGAATTTATTACAGAAAAACAGCTTACCACCTTAGAAAGCCACCTTTGCCATTATTTACCTCTGGCCTAAGGTAGTACTTTGCCTCTGGTAGATGTTTAGTAAATGTTTGAATGAATGAATAAGTGAGTAAGTAAATAAATGTTATCCTCTTAGTTCACACTTGCTACTGAGTGTGAACTTGCTACTCAGTTTTGTCTTCATTTCCTAACTCCTCCCAAATTTCTGCAAGTAATAGTAGAGGATTCTAAGGTATTATTTCTATTGAATGGCATATTGTAAGTCACTTAATCTTTTTATTTTTCTGCTTATGAAACAGTTTTGAGGGAAGAGTATGTGGCTTACAAGATACGACTTGGCCAGAAATGTCTTTTCTATAACATACTGAATGTTAACCTGACATGGCACCTGCCCTGAAGCTCTAAGTGGCTTAATGGTCAAAGTCTTAATTTTTGAACCATTAAAACAACATCTGAGATTCTGGTTACAGAAAATCTTTAGCTTCTTTATTTCCTTTCACTCTCACAAACCCAATAATCATTTGTTTCTTGAATCCAGGCACTGCGGGAGTTGGTATTAAAATACCGTGAGGACATCATTAATGTGCGGACAGCAGCAGACCACGTAGAAGAAAAGCTGAAGGCTGAGATACTTTTCCTAAAAGAGCAGATCCAAGCAGAACAGTGTTTAAAAGAAAATCTTGAAGAAACTCTGCAACTAGAAATAGAAAACTGCAAGGAGGAAATAGGTGAAGATAAAAGTGATGTAGTTTAGAATTAGAGTCACTAAATAAAACTTTAGTAAAAGAAGCAATACATGGCCATGGAGTCTGGAACACAGAAAAGCTTAGGAAAGAATTTAGTAAGGACTCAGTCCATTTTTTGTAGATATTCTGATATATTCAGATTCTGAATATATATTCTGATATAGTCAAATAATCAGAAATTCTGGTTATTTAAAAAATTTTTTTTTTTTTTTTTTTTTTTGAGACGGAGTTTCATTCTTGTTGCCCAGGCTGGAGTGCAATGGCGCGATCTTGGCTCACCGCAACCTCTGCCTCCCAGGTTCAGGCAATTCTGCTGCCTCAGCCTCCCGAGTAGCTGGGATTACAGGCATGTGTGCCAGCACACCCAGCTAATTTTGTATTTTTAGTAGAGACGGGTTTCTCCATGTTGGTCAAGCTGGTCTCGAACTCCTGACCTCAGGTGATCTGCCTGCCTCGGCCTTGCAAATGCTGGGATTACAGTTGTAAGCCAACGCGCCTGGCCGAAAACTCGTCTTTTTAGGAGTTCTGTGGCCTCTTTGGCAATTATTCATAGATAGGATTCTCAGTACTTGAACCCAGAACCAGGGGAACGTGATTCAATGGGTGGCATTTCCCTGCAGAGATGTGATACATGATCTAGAGGTAGTTTATGACACAGTGTCCATTTGCATGGATCCTGCTTTTCCCTGAGCCTAAATATGCTGATTGCTTGGTGGTAATTTTGAGACAGCCCCCGGAACCCATGTTCAGCATACATTTGAATCCTTTGGGGGGTGCTCTAAAATTTTAAAGAAAAAAATGTTCATGCACAATAATAGATGAATGCTAATACATCTCATTTTTTTCCTTCTAGCTTCTATTTCTAGCCTAAAAGCTGAATTAGAAAGAATAAAAGTGGAAAAAGGACAGGTAAGTCGTGAGTTTCAAATTAATTCTATCAGCAACCAGTGGTTATTTACTGACTCCTACTATGCTGCACCCAACGAATAAAAAATAGTTAAGGCATGGGCCCTGCCTTAAGGAACTTTTGTCTTGTGGGAAGAAAACCACGGGGTAAGGGTGTGCTGGTGATTTATTGAGAGTGCCCTGTGTGTCAGGCTACGTTAAACTGGAGGAGGTAAGGCTAAGATGTGACTGTGGCCTGGAGTTTCCAGTGTAGTGAGAAGATAGGCAAGGCATGGTCATAACATGTTATATGCTTAGAGGTACAGTAGAAATATGTATAAAAAACATTACAAACAAGAGATGACATTTTCTAGCTGGCTTAGTCCTCTTAGACATCATTAGTTCCTTTCATAGTAACCCCATTCAACTTCCTGACCTCACTGTTCCTTGATTTAGAGATTTTCACCTCCACCCTGCTCTCCCCTTCCACACACTGGGCTGCATTTTGCCCAACTGTGACATCTCACTGCAGCCTTAAGTTCCTTGACCACAATCTGCCATCCTTCCAGCTCTTCCATCGGAGTACCTCATTCAGACCTCCAGTTCTCTGAACTTCCCCTTTCATTCTGGTTTCAGCAGCTTCATGGCTTGCTTTCTTTCCCCTAGGTTGCATCTTACTGGCCTGCCTCTTCCCTTCATCTCCCACCACACCTGTCCCTATGGTCTTTGACTCCTTGTCCTGCTGCTGCCCTCACCTGACCACTGCCCAACCTTGGACTAGTCTTGCTGTCCCCAGCTGCTGATGCCACGAGACTTGGTGACACTGCATGCTCAAGCTGCCAGATGGGCCTCCAGTGTTCCTCATGCAGCCTTTCATGTGTCCTAAGTTGCGTCTCTTCCATTCCTCACAGTGGCAGTTTCAGAGTCACCTCACCTCAGCCCCCTCACTCTCAGCAGATGCTGGCCTCACTCCTCAGGCATCAGGCAGGGCCACCTTCAGCTACTGGGCTCCTCAATTACAGGTTTTCCTTTTATTCCCAGTCTTTTCTTTTTCTTCAGAGAATATCATGACCTGCTTCTGACCACAGTGTCATTGCATAGGTGCTTTGACTGAGTATCTCCGACTTTTCCAGATGTCCCCGCGCAGTGCCGGGCCTTGAACTTCTGCCTCTTGACTGATCTTTTCCATTATGCATGAACAGGCTCAGGTGTCTCATATTCAGAAGGAAAAAGTCTGTCTTTGGATTGCACTCCTCTCCCGAGCTACCACTCTTTCTTCCTCCCTCTGTTGCCACAGTCTTGATCATCATCACTGCCTGACTTCCCAGGCATCCCTCCACCTGCTGCAGTCTGCCTCCTGCCTCCACTTTGCTACTGATATTGCACCAGCAGAAATTACCAGCGCTCGAAATAACATCTCATCCTTTCCATTCTAGCTGCCACTCTTTGAGTTCAGACTTCACTCTCACCTGGCTTATTGTAACAGCCTAACTTTCCCTGCCTCCAAAATTTGTCCCTAAATCATCTCCATATTGAAATCAAGGTGATATTTAAACATTAGAAACTTGTTCGCGTCCCAGTCTAGTGGAAAGCCCTCCCGTAGTTCCCTTTATTTTACAGGATCAAGTCCATATCCTTAGCCCAGCCAGAGCTCTCCTGCCTCACACCTCTCTGCCTCAGTGCCTGTGGCTCCCAACGTGCTGTGCTGTAGGCCAGCCGAACATGCCACTGTTGCTGCATGTGTTTTTAGTGCGTGCCATCCATTCCCTCTTATTGGAGTATCTCTCCATCTTCTCCCCTTGTCACCCTTGTCTTTGCCCTGTAAAAATGTAGGAGTCAAATGTCATCTCCTCTAGGAAGTCCTTTGTAACTTTTCTGGCAGAATTAAATGCTTCTTTCTTCATCCTTTACATGTCTGTTTACCCTGATTTCTCCATTTTGAGGCCTTAGAATATAGTAGGCACCTAATAATGGTTAATGAAAGAATAGTTCAGGAAGAATACAGAGGGGATCCACAGAGCTGAAAGGGTGAGAGGAGTATTCCCAGTGTAGCCCGAGTGTCTTGGTGTAATTCTCCAGGCTCTAGGCTCTTTTAGGTAGTGCACTGGGGCCCAGAGGGAGTTTCTGTGAGTTTCAGCTTTTTCCTTTTTCACAGTTGGAGTCCACATTAAGAGAGAAGTCTCAACAGCTTGAGAGTCTTCAGGAAATAAAGATCAGTTTGGAAGAGCAGTTAAAGAAAGAGACTGCTGCTAAGGTAGTGTTTTCATTAGTCATTTAATTTTAAAAAGCAGGGCTAAGAATGCAGGATCACATCTTGCTTGTTGAAAAAAAAATATTGGTGCTTTGAAGTGTCACCTTTTAAAAAGTTGGCAAAACTGACAGCTTGTGAAAAGAAAAAACTTAAACGAATTGATCTATTCCAGCTGGGTTAAATCTTTTCTGCCAGGTCTGGAGGCCTGCGTCATAGGCTAGCTTCAGATAGTAGGCAGTCAGGGCCATTGACCAAGCCTGGGCACTGCCCAGTTAGAAGCACTGCTTTGAAAATGTCATTCCATTTGACTGATGTATCAAATCCTAAGAGAGATTGCATCAAACCAGGTTTGCTGCCTAAATTTTGATGAGTTCCGTTAGAATAAACGTGCATGTTGTGGGGGTAGTTTCCTAGAAATGGTCTTAGTGAGCTGAGTGGTCAGACCTGAAAGTGCAGACAGTGTTGCTGAACTGCTTGTTTTTGGAAAGGCTCCCACACATCCTGCTGGTTTTCTGTAAGAGAGACTGGGGATAGCTGGGGCGTATTCACTAAGTTTCCTGGTGGATGCTTGACTGTGGAGGTTGTCAGAGGAAGTCCTGTATGTATCCCTGTTGGTGTGACAGACACCGATCTTAGCAGCTGTTTTGGTGATTATCGTCACTGTCACCAGCTGCTGGGGGTGGGGGAGGGCAGCACTTTAATCCATTTCTTCCTTTGGCTTTTCATACCCAGTTCATCTCAGGACTTAGAGCAAGTAGTCTAGATGGCCTGCACGCTTGCCCTATAGATAAAGAGATTGGTCGTGTATAGGAGTGCGACGGATATCCACCCACCTTTCTGCCCTAGTAGTAGGTAACTACAAGTTACTGGATTTCCTAAGTAATTCGGCCCTTTGGCATTAATCTTCATTCAAAACTTGTATTTTTTAGGCTACCGTTGAACAACTAATGTTTGAAGAGAAGAATAAAGCTCAGAGATTACAGACAGAATTAGATGTCAGTGAGCAAGTCCAGAGGGATTTTGTAAAGCTTTCACAGACCCTTCAGGTGAGGCATTTGGGGAACCACATACAGAGCACGAAGGCAGTTTTGGGGGACAGAACCTTGCCGATCCCTGACTTGACCACTGGCAGTAGCTAGAGGTTTAGAGACTGGCTGCTCCTACCTCCACCCCAAATGTCTGACTCATCATTCAAGCCAGAAACCTGGTGTGTTCTTCACACTTGGCCCATTTTTCTTTTTCTGTATGCCTTGCCAATTTTGCCTCCTTATGAGTAAAGTACTGACTCCTTAGCATACCATGTAAGACTCTTCCCAACCAGGCCCACCCCTGTATTTTGCTCATCTCTCTGCCTTGTTTTACATGTTTAACTGCTTGTGGTTCCTCGCCCACAGCGTGGTGTTCTGTCTGGTAAGCATCCTCATCTCATCCCCTCCTGACTCCTTTCTTTCAAGGCTCAGCGTAGGTCTGTCCCCTCTGTGGAGCTCTTCTAGGTCCCTGAGCTGGGCTAAAGTGCCCCTCCCTCTGCCATGCTCCCTCGGGCACTCTATGAATGCCTGTAATGACACAATGACATTTAGAATATTGTGCTAAAACTAAGTTTTTTTCCCAATGGAACTTCGGATTTTTTTTTTTTTTTGGAGACGGAGTCATGCTCTGTTGCCCAGGCTAGAGTGCAGTGGTGTGATCTTGGCTCACTGCAGCCTGTGCCTCCTGGATTCCAGCGATTCTCCTGCCTCATCCTCCTGGGTAGCTGGGATTACAAGTACACACCACCAAGCCCAGCTAATTTTTGTATTTTTAGTAGAGACAGGGTTTCACCATGTTGGTCAGGCTGGTCTCAAACTCCTGACCTCAGGTGATCCACCTGCCTCAGCCTCCCAAATTGCTGGGATTACAGGCGTGAGCCACCGTGCCCGGACTGGAACTGTGGATTCTTCAGGATTGGGAGTCAGGTCTCATTTGTCTCCATAATCCCAACACATTACACTTTAAAATCCTAGTCTGGGCCAGGCATGGTGGCTCACGCCTATAATCCCAGCAGTATGGGAGGCTGACATGGATGGATTACCTGAGGTCAGGAGTTTGAGACCAGATTGACCAACAATATGGTGAAACCCCGTCTCTACTTAAAATACAAAAATTAGCCGGGCATGGTGGCGTGTGCTTATAATCCCAGCTACTTGGGAGGCTGAGACAGGAGAATTGCTTGAACCCGGGAAGTGGAGGTTGCAGTGAGCCAAGATCATGCCACTGCACTCCAGCCTGGGTGACGGAGCAATACTCCATCTGGAGGAAAAGAAAAAGCAAGCAAGCCAGGTGTGATGGCAGGCACCTGTAATCTCAGCTACTCGGGAGGCTGAGACAGGAGAATCACTTGAACCCGGGAGGTGGAGACTACAGTGAGCCGAGATCACACCATTGCACTCTGGCCTGGGCTGGCCTGGATGATGAGCAAAACTCTCCCCCCCAAAAAAAAATCCCAGTCCGTTACACGGTAGCTTTGGGGAATTATTTTTAAAATTTTTAATTGTTCTTGCTGTCTCCCTTTGAAGTGACTAGTACTCTGGTGAGTTAATCTGCTACATCTCAGCTAAACCAGTCAAAGTTCAGAAAATCTAGGCAGGAGCCACCTGTAGTTATCTCACCATTGTTTCTCCAGGTGCAGTTAGAGCGGATCCGGCAAGCTGACTCCTTGGAGAGAATCCGGGCAATTCTGAATGATACTAAACTGACAGACATTAACCAGCTTCCTGAGACATGACACCCTCATGGCAGGATTCTAGCCTGCACTTTGGGTTTTTAACTCATCTTTAGAGCAACAGTAATTATTATTTAACTCTTAACTGAAGAAAGAGAAGTCACAACAAAAGGAAGACTGGAGAAATGCTTACTTCTAGAGGGAGAAGACTGTGCGGCACAGGAAACAGCAAACAGTGGGGTGATCTGCAGCCCAGAGACCTTCAAATGCGAACACTATAAACTCCAGGCTTGATTCCAACAGGCGTGGGATCAGATTTGGTGATGGAAAAAGCGCTGTTTCCTTGCCTGCTTTCTCCAAGACAGATTTTCGGAACACATTTCCCTACCCTAAAGCGACATCCCAGTAGTGTTTGGAATTTTCTGTTCATAGATATTGGAAGAGAGAATTTGCTTTATCTGTTGTCTAGAGCTCATCAGTAACAGTATTCAGTTAGCAGACAGAAGTGTAGTATGCTGTATGAATATTTTATATTAAAATATGAAGGTTTGAGAGCAGGCCATTGGCTACTGACTGTATTTTGTTTTCCTTTTACCATTTTATCTTATCTTGCTTTGGAGGACCTTAAATGCTACTGAAACTTACCTGAGAACCATAGGACTGTGGCAAACAAAACCAATTCATGAAGTGAATTAATGATGAGGATCTGAAAACTTGGCTGGGGCTATATATACTGGAAGTTGAAGGTTAAAGGAAAAGCACAAGAAACTTTGGAAGCACTTTTTCTGCATACTTAGATGATCTTCATGGGCCCACAGGGTACCAGGATAAAGCCGAACTGGTACCATCTACTCTTTTGAAGTGTTTTAGTCTAGTTATTGGATCAGTGAAAAACATTAGTATACGTTTTTAAATAGGCTAATTTTTCAACTTGGATCATTAGGCTTACGTACTACTTGTTTCAAATGTGTCAAATACAAAAATGGTAACTAGGTTGACAGATACTTTGTATTTTTCTTTTGAATTCAGACCTGGAATGTAAGTAAGTGACAATGCTTATGGAAAGCCAGTTAGTTAGAATTGGAAATCTGTCTTGTCATTTTACAAGCATTAGATTCCTTTCCTGTGTGAAGAAAGCCTCAGTGAAACAGGTCTTTGCCATAACTTTATGAAGTGCTACAGAAAGCACAAAGAATTGATTCATGTTCATCAATACCTGCTGAGAGTACTGTCCCAGGAATATCCAGTGGATGGATTCATCATCCAGGAGGTTCAAAAGTAAGATGGTTTTCAAATCATTTTTGAGACTGGTTGCATAACAGCAGGGTACCTGAAAGAGCCTTCTGGGAGTTAGTGAACTAGGTAGATTGTTTTGTTCACATAACGCCACCATCAACTTAAAGTGAATTGTCTTTGTTATAAATGAGGTCACTATGGACTTACCCTAAAGATCTTCTGTACTTCTGTCTTCCATAGGACAAATGATAAGTACTACATACCTCATCTCTTGGGTTATTATTGTAGTCTTGCATTCATGGTTATGAATTTAAAAATAAATACCAATTATGGAAATAGTACTAAAGGCTTGCCGCACATGAAACATTATTTTAATTGGTTTAAAGTCCCTTTATAAAGAGTGCTACATGGTTTAGATAAAGGAAACATATAACTATTGAGTTACAGGGGATTTTATTAATTATAAAATGCAATCAATTTAAATTACGTAGGTTTAAGACTAGTCCCTTGGATAAGCCCCAAGCGAATTTGTCTTCAGATTATTAAAATTAGTGCTGTAAATCAGGGTGGGCAATTCACAGCCTTTCTGAACTGACTGAACTAGAGCTTGCAGTGAAGTGTTCTGCTGAGACTGAGCACCTTACAGATATTTTTCTCCAGAAGATGGTGCTGGGTAATAAAATCATCACAATTAGGGAATGGTTAGTGGTCTCTACTGTGGCAAATGCCAACTGTTGGAATTCACTTTATTGTAGAAAAACCCAAACTGAGACTCTTAAGTTTTGTTTAGCAATGTGTTTCTGGTATGAAACAAACTACTGTGTCACTGTCCAGGTAGGAAACAATTCTTTCAACTGGGTTTTCAGCATAAATGGGAACTGATGTAGAAGGCAGGATTTAGCCCTTCTAGGCAAAAGAAAAGCTCAGTTGGGTTTCACGAGTGTTCCTGTGCTTATATTCAGTCTGTGCCTACATGTTCTCATGCATGTCTAACCTGATTTACCTCTTACCTGTAACCTACCTTATCATGTGGCTTTTAATTGACAGTCACTCAGCCATTTCTAAGCAGATATAGTAGTACCTTTCAGAACTCACATTGGCAAGTGTAAAAAGATGACTTAAGGTGAAGTGAGGACAAAATCACATTCTGCATACTAACCTATTTTTTTCTCCCTTTAAGGTGCTAAACTTGCACCTCATGTCCACTCAGTAACAAGTATTGGGACGTAGAGCACAGCCTCACTCAGCTCTGAAAGGTAATACAGCTTGTGAGGAAGTGAGCCAGCAGTGGCCTTTGCAATTGTGGATCTTGAGCTCTGCTCTCAGCAGATTTCAGGTGTAACCATTTGTTAACTGTACTGAAGGTGTGTCCTCAAGAAGAAAGTGTTCAAATTAAAAAAGCTGCTGCCAAGTACACTGTGTGGTCTTCTCCTTTGAATCCTAGGGTTCTATCCCTCTTCAGAGTCATGTTTCTGGTGCTGCTACTTTAAAACACAGCTCACAAGAATAACTAACTTGCTCAAATATGGAGAAAACTCAATAGGGTTCAGGGAGGTTCTGGCAGTGTGCAGTGTGAAATAATCCTGAGTCCTTGCTGAACACAACTGTAGGCTTGAGTTATAAAGCACATTCCAAATTTTAAATAAAAGCATTTACTCAATTATTATAAAACAACATATTTAAAAAGATGAACCACACCAAAGGTCATCAAAACACCTTTTTATAAATTAGATAATTCTACCTGTTTTACAATATGGGTTTAAGCCTTCAATGGTGTTCAGTTCAGGTGTGAGTCAGCTCCTGGTGGTGTCAGAAGTTTACATGATTGCGGATATCATTGATTTGCTTCACCATTTCCCTTATATGTTCACCCCTGTAAAATTGTAAAGTCACTCACTTTTGGAATTATAATAAACCATTTATATGGATTCTTAAGAATTTAAACTGGTAATGTTGAAACATCTAAGAACTGCTTTGCTAAAATTAACAGCTGAAGGTTTCAGGTGGATAGCAATAGTGTTCACTATTCATTTAAGGTGGCAAACGGTGCAAGTACTGGAAATATTTTTGAACATAATTACTGTAAAATACCTTTGGCCACACAACAAAATCATGTTACTAGAAGGTCATCCCTTTCAATCCTCCCACCATAGTCATTTCTTAAGTCCCTATGTATCATGTGGCTCTCATCCCAGTAATTACTTGACATGCAAATACCAAGATTCAGGTTTCTATTAAGACAGGTTGATTCTGGCATACTGTAAAGGAAAAACTATCTCACGATAATAGCTGATTGGAAGTATTTACTTACTCCTCTTTCAGGATGGACTGAATGCACTTTCGCTGGTAGGCACTGAGAATAATGGTGGGTTTTGGAAGACTCAACACCTTCTCCATCTTTTGCTGTTGATAATCCTTTTTCATAGTAACCTTAAGTATTAAAATAATAGATATTTTGGCAGTGGTTTGCCACACATTTTCACAGTATCTATTTGAATCTGTTCTTTTTACATTTTTGTAAAATTTTCTGTAGAATAAGTGCTTTAAGAAAAATTACCAAATTTAGCTAGTTTGGATCTATTCCTACCTGTTTGATGGCATTGCCCAAATGTCGAAGTTGATCAGGTATCAGCTGTAATTCTTTCTTCATGTCTCGCTCACTATCAGAGAGAACTGGGAGCTCAGAGTGAAAACTGTGAAGTAGTTTTTTCATCCTTTAGAAAAGGCAAGCAAACATCTCAATTTAAGGTCTCTACTAATTAGGAGAAACATAATCACAAGCTCATAATTCATGAATCTGGTGTTTCTGAAGTAGGCCCCATAGGAAGGGTTAGGGGAGAGCCTCATGTTTTCCCCAACATATACTTCAGAGGAGAGGCAGGGGGATCAGTTCAGTTCCGTAGGTATGTAAGCACCTGCCAATGCCCATTTTCTTAAATATCGTTGTTAGTACCTGACTAGGTAACTAAATGTTATACAGCCCACTGACCTGTTCATGATATCCTCTTGTTTTTCTTTAGCTTCCTCATATTTGTCAGCTAAACGCTCAGCCATTTCCCGCAGACTTTTCCTAATGATGTAAGACACAAGAGACTCTTGAGGTCCACCCCTTGATGCTGAAACCACCTAATGTGGCTCAGCATCTTAGGGTGAGAATATGGTTCCAGTCTTACTGACCTATTGTATTCTTCTTATTTTTGACACTTACCTCTCTTCTCGACAATAACTGAGATCTTCTAGTTGTTTCTTTTTTTGGTCACATAATAATTTGACCCTTTAAAAACAAAAAGAAATAGAGTTTATTCAGAAGCCAGGTCTAGGCTACCATACAGCATCAGCTACCAGCCAGGGATCGATGGTTTGTGAACACAGGACATCATACCTCCGCTGAATCTCCTCCTTTGCCAAGTCCTGTTTGAGAATGTACTGCTCTCTGAACACCTGGGTGGCTCTGCTGAGGAGCTGAAGGCATTCTTCAGGAGGAGGGGCTATGTCCTTTTCAGAAGCTCTTAAAAACAAAGTTTCTACCTTTATTTTCCTTAGCTGAGTAAAACAACTGAAAATAAATAGACTCAAGTCACAGGTGCTTTTTAAACTTTTTATATTTTTAATTTATTTATTTGAGATGCAGTCTCGCTCTGTCACCCAGGCTGGAGTGCATTGGTGCTATCTCGGCTCACTGCAACCTCCACCTCCCAGGTTCGAGCAATTCTTCTGCCTCAGCCTCTCGAGTAGCTGGGATTACAGGTGCCCACCACCACGCCTGGCTAATTATTGCATTTTTAGTAGAGACAGGGTTTCACCATGTTGGCCGGGCTGGTTTTGAACTCCTGACCTTAGGTGATCCGCCTGCCTGGGCCTCCCAAAGTGCTGGGATTACAGCTGTAAGCCACCGTGCCCAGCCTAACTTGAGACGAGTCTCACTGTCGCCCAGGCTGGAGTGCAGTGGTGGGATCTCAGCTCACTGCAACCTCTGCCTCCCAGGTTCAAGCGGTTCTCCTGCCTCAGCCTCCCAAGTAGCTGGGATTACAGGCATCTGCCACCACACCCAGCTAATTTTTTTTTGTATTTTTAGTAGAGATGGGGTTTTGCTGTGTTAGCCAGGATGGTCTCGATCTCCTGACCTCGCGATTCACCCGTCTTGGTCTCCCAAAGTGCTGAGATTACAGGTGTGAGCCACCACGCCCGGCCTAGCCTAACTTCTTTTTAAACACTTCCTGTTTATCATTCTCAGGTGCCACTTCCCTCCTGCTCCCCATTCACTAGCTGATCAAATATATCCAGTTTCTTCCAAATTTATCACAGTAAAAAGTATATGAAACAGATGAGGACAGAAAGGATGCACAGTAATTCTGAAGACAGAAGAGAACCCATTCATAAAACCGCTATGCCCAAGGTTGCATACTTCAAAAATGCTGGATTGGCAACACTACGTTGCAAAATGCTTCTAATATGCTTTTCAAAGGAATCTGGGGTTTCAGCCAGAACACGGAGGGGAGACTCTGCCACTTCAACATCTTCTCGAGTACAAAGCAGGGGAGGAGACGCTGGATGGACTGTACTTCTGCAAAATAAGTAAGTAAATTGAATTCTACCATGGAGTGATTTACTGTATTACAGGAAAGCAGAAACCACATTAATCCAGAACTTTCAGAATATAAAATAAAGTGTAACTTTTGTAAAAGTGCAAGAATGCATGTTTTCCACCTTGAAAAGGTCACTTTGGGAAGCTACACCCTTATTATTCCAATGCCCCTGATTTGTGAAAGCATTTCTGACTGCCATTTCCAGTTCTTTTCTAAAAGATCAAGGCAGCACAAACACCTAGCATGGATTCTTGGCAAAGGACTTGAAAGCCAGTTTATAAGCCGGAGCCACAAACATAAATTACTTATTTGTTAGGTTTAGAGTTGATCAAAACCAATATTAAGCCAAGAAACTGCTGTATATACCATATTGGTTCTATATAATTTCATTTCTAAAAACTATTCAGTCAAGTGCAAATACTCAAACTTCAAAAAGAGCTTAAAAGATCTCACAGACTTCGGCAGCATGGCAAGTGACTTACTCTGAAGGCAACAATTCTAACGTGAATGTTTGGTTGGGCGTGGTGGCTCACGCCTGTAATCCCAGCACTTTGGGAGGCCGAGGCAGGTGGATCACTTGAGGTCAGGCGTTCAAGACAAGCCTGGCCAACGTGGTAAAACTGTCTCTACTAAAAATATAAAAATCAGCTGGGTGTGGTGGCACACATCTGTAATCCCAGCTACTTGGGTGGCTGAGGCATGAGAATCGCCTGAACCCAGGAGGCGGAGGTTGCAGTGAGCTGAGATCACACCACTGCACTCCAGCCTGGGTGACAGAGCAAGACTCTGTCTCAAAAAAAAAAAAAAAAAAAAGTGAAAGTTCATGAAATAGCATAACTTTATAGACAACTTGTATTTCAGGGAGTTGGCAGAAATATGATCTGAAAGTATCCAGATAATTGGCCTGGCACGGTGGCTCATGCCTGTAATCCCAGCACTTTGGGAGGCCGAGGTGGGTGGATCACCTGAGGTCAGGAGTTCAGGACCAGCCTGGCCAACATGGCAAAACCTCATCTCTACTAAAAATATAAAAATTAGCTGGGCATGTGGTGTGCGCCTGTAATCCCAGCTACTAGGGAGGCTGAGGCAGGAGAATCACTTGAACCCGGGAGGCAGAGGTTGCAGTGAGCTGAGATCGTGCCACTGCCCTCCAGCTTGGGCAACACAGCAAACTCCGTCTCAAAAAAAAAAAAAAAAAATATCCAGACAATTAATGTTTATTTTTCCCCTTTGGGATTCATATTTATTCTGAAGTAAGCTAGTGTGACTAGGTTTTATTTTACTAAATGTACTGTGGGTGTTTAAAAAGTATGCTGAGGTAACTTACAGGTAATTTTTTCTCCAGTGATTTTATTATTTTTGTTTGGTCTTGCTAGCTTTTAGTGCCTTCAGTGTAAATAACACAAAATTTATATTTATTTTTACATCCAGATAGTACAACTTAATCAAGCTTCAAAGACTATGGAAGATCCTCTAAGGACAGTAAACTACTGCCAGTATTAGGAATTTATGTCAGCATCCAGAGGTGCAAGCTTTGAACGGACAAGGGGTGGGGGTGTTGTCTAGTGTTTGAAGCTCCAGTGACTTTTGTTTTTGGTACTCATATTCCTACATTTATGTAACTCAGAATGATCTTCCAGGGCTGTTGGAAAAGGAACATAGTGATTACAGCTTAATTATCTGAGTTCCTTAAAGGAGCAAAGACTAAGAGTTCAGCTTTTTTGTTTTTTTTTTTAAAAGACACAGGGTCTTGCTCTGTTACCCAGGCTGTAGTGCAGTGGCATGATCATGGTTCACTGCAGCCTAAAACTCCTGGGCTTAAGCAATCCTCTCACCTGAGCAGCTAGGACTACAGATGTGTACCACCATGCCTGGCTAATTTTTTTGTTTTTTGTAGAGATGGGGGTCTCACTGTTTTGCCCAGGCTGATCTCGAACTCTGGGCCTCCCAAAGCATTGGGATTACAGGCATGAACCACCACTGCACCCAGCCTGAGTTCAGCTTTATTCCAGTTTACATAGTCTACAGTGTCCCTCAGGCTGGCAGAGATGGAGAAATTAAAGAGTATGAGTATGGACTTCTGAGTCAATGAGACCTGCATCTGTATCCCAGCTCTATTTGTTACCTGTGACTTCAGCATTTACTAACCTCTCGATCCCCGTTTCCACTTTTATAAAATGGAAATGACAGTGCCTTCCTTACAGGGCTGCCCTGATGATTCCAGGAGGCAGTGCGGGTACGTGGCTTACTTCTGAGCTTGGCGTATGGTCACAGCTTGATAATTATTACTCATATCGATAATGGAATTTGGTATTCAATTTTAGTATTTTTTCTCCACACTCTGAAGAAAAGCTCCTGACTCTCAGCTAGGTGCAGGGGATGCCAGAAACTATACCTACAATGAAACCTTATAGAGATGATGGCAGGAACAGAAATATCCATCCTTCCAACCCTCAAGTCAGAAGCCAAAGTATAAACCACACATGTATAGCTTCAAGTTGGTTACTGAGTGCATTTTCCCAACTTAGATATTGCAGAATTAACAAGAGCTGTGTGGAGAATATAAAATGGGACGTACAATAACGGCCATATGAGGCATTCATAGGTACTGGTGATGCAGATCATCGTGGGTCCCAGAATGTCAGGTACAATCCAAAATCCTCGAATTGGAGCTGGCTGCCTGGAAAAACACAGTCATAGTTAAATTACAAAGCAGCAAATGCAATGGAACCAAGAGCAAAGACATGACAGGTCCGCGGCCTTCTCAGGCCTGGGCTGAAGTTGCTTGGGACATCCTATCAGTACCATAACCTCAAAAGTGGTGGCTTGGAAACCTTTAATGCAGCTCCACACTAAAGTCTAGAGCCCATGTGACTAAGTCACTCAGGAATCCCTAACTGTAGCGTGCTGCTGACTGTAATCTCAAAAGTTACACGTTACACTGAAGATCTCTCCAACTTGCACATAAGCCCCAGCTATCTTTGTTTGCCTAGCCCAGTGCTAACAAATTAAGTGCTTAGAAACTGTTGAATGAACAGAACTACCGAGTCTCTCTCAATGAGGCCCAATGTCAATGTCACAGGAAATCACTTGGCACGCACAGCGTGTATCTCTCTCAGTCTTCCTTCCCACTTCAGTGAAGACACTGGAAACTGAGACCTCAGATGGGAACTGTCATTCTGCCAACATGCTCTCCTAGCGGCTCCCATGCCCATCCCACCTGCATGCCTACAACACACATCTGCCCCCGAATGTGGATGCCGCCTCCTCTCACACCTTCTGAAAATTGTACCATCAACTGTGTCGTTTCAAAATCTCCCTATTATCTACTTCCCCTCAGCTTGCAAACTCATGTCTCTTCCATTTAAAATACTCTCATTTCAATATAATGTCCAGTTCCCCTTAACCTATTCTTTCTCGCCATCCCTTTAGAACCAGCAGTCTTTAAACAGCAGTTGAAAACACTAGTTCCCCTTCCATAGCTCCCATTTACCTTTTTGGACAAGACATGGAGACGATATCTGGAAGGTTGTAAACTTTAACTTTTTATTATCAGTGTGAAATCTACACACTACTGGGCTATACACTATGTAACCAGTATCCAGGTCAAGAATCAGGACACTGCAGGGGGCCTCAGGGTTCCCATGCGACCTTCCCTGGTCATAGCCTTTCACTCCCCAGAGAAGTAGCCGCTACTCTGACATTCATAATATCATGTCTTTGCTTTGCTTTATAGTTTTCCTATCTATGTATTCACTCCTAGGCAAGACTGTTTAATTTTACCTGTTTCTGAAATTGATATAAATGGGATTTTGGGGTTTTTTTGAGATAGGGTCTCACTCTGTTGCCGAGGCTGGAGTGCAATAGTGCGATCACGACTCACTGCAGCCTTGACCTCGTGGGCTCAAACAATCCTTCCTTCTCAGCCTCCTGAGTAGCTGGGACCACAGGTACATGCTACCACAGTGGCTAATTTTTTTTTTTGTTTGAGACGGAGTCTCACTCTGTTGCCCAGGCTGGAGTGCAGTGACATGATCTTGGCTCACTGCAGCCTCCACCTCCCAGGGTCATACGATTCTCCTGCCTCAGCCTCCTGAGTAGCTGGGATTACAGGTGCCCGCCACTACACCCAGCTAATTTTTTTTTTGTATTTTAGTAGAGACGGGGTTTCACCACGTTGGCCAGGCTGGTCTCGAACTCCTGACCTAGTAATTCGCCTGCCTCAGCCTCCCAAAGTGCTGGGATTACAGGCGTGAGCCACCACGCCTGGCCTCACCTAGCTAATTTTTAAATTTTTTTGTAAAGGGTCTCACTATGTTGCCCAGGCTGGTCTCAAACTCCTGGCCTCAAGTGATCCTCCTGCCTCACCTGACAAAGTGCTGGGATTATAGGTGTAAGCCACCATGCCCAGCCTACATGGGATTTTATTATGTATTTTCCTTGTTCACTTTTCTTTTTTTTTTTTTTTTTTTGAGATGGAGTCTCACTCTGTCACCCAGACTGGAGTGCAGTGGCATGATCTCAGCTCACTGCAACCTGTGCTGCCCGGGTTCAAGCAATTCTCCTGCCTCAGCCTCCCGAGTAGCTGGGATTGCAGGTGTCTGCCACCATGCCTGGCTAATTTTTGTAGTTTTTAGCAGAGATGGGGTTTCACCATCTTGGCCAGGCTGGTCTTGCACTCCTGACCGTGTGATCCACCCACCTCGATCTCCCAAAATGCTGGGATTATAGGCGTAAGCCACAGTGCCTGGTTTCACTGTTCACTTTTCAAGCTGGTACAGTTTGCTATCCTTCTCATTCCCCACCAAGCGTTTTCCCTGTGGTCCTCTGTATTGCCAAACCTAGATTATGTCTATTTCTTAGTGTATGCTATTTGTCTCATGTCTGTGTATACTCCATGTCTAACAGAGTGCTTATGAGATATCTAGTAATTGATGAACAGAATAAAGGGAGGTATCTAGAATACCTTCCAGGTTTCTACTGGGGATAACTGGGGTGATATGGCACCCTTCAGAAAAATGGGACACAGGAGAGAGAGCAGATTTGGAAAGACAGAAGATGAGTTAAGGGGACATCTGGAGTTTTATGTTCCTATAGGATATCCAAGTGGAGGAGCCCAGTAGGCAGCTGGGTATGTGAATCTGGAGTTCAGAGTGGTCTGGGCTAGGGCGATATGGATGCGGGAACTGTCAGCACTGAAGCCATGATTACGGCAGAAGTTACTCAGGAAAGGACCTAGAAAGAATAGAGAAGACCCAAGGAAAGAGTTGTGAGCATTACTTATAAGCAGTGAGTAGAGGCAGAGGAACCCGCCCAAGAAGGAAACTTGAGAAAAGGGCTGCTGGCGGGACTGAAGGAGAACCTGGAGGGACAGACGTCAAGGATGCCAAGGAGAATGTGTTTCAAAGAGGAGACATGGGCAACCACATCAAATAAACACAGCAATGCAGTGAAGGGCAGACACAGTCTCTGCTCTCATGAAACATATACATTCCGGTAGTGGCGACAGACATTAAAAAAATGCAAATATAAATAGTGTAATATGTGCTACAATGGATAAGAGAATAGGAGAGCCCCAAGTTAGACTGGGGAGTCAAGGGTGTTCTCTGTGAAGAAGTGACATTAAGATCAGAAAGAAGGGTAGGAGTTAGCCAAGAGAAGACAGCAAGCTGGGGCTGGGGCTGGGGCTGGGGAAGGACCTTCCAGTCAGGAAACAGTATGTCGAGTGGCCCTGGAGAGGAGAAAGCTTCTGATGAGCAGGACACTCTTAGGGGAGAAGTATCACGTCTGCAACTTTCAAATGACTCAGCAGTGAATACTGTGGATGTGAGTGTAACGGATACAAACGTATCTGAACTGCTGAAATGAACAATTGTTTTCTGATATACAAGGGAGGGAGAGTCCTTACCTGCAGGGCAATGGCTTCGTACAAAGGATGTGTTCAACAAAGCATTTCTGTTCTGTAGAGAGTTCCTGTAAACTATCCTTATCTTCTTCATCTACCATGGAAGACATTACATAAATGAAATGATGCTTAGACAAGTCTCCAAATTAAAATGCTAATGATATTGGGTTAAATGCAGTGAGGTTCTTGTCTGAAAACATTGCTTCTCAAGTACTATGCTTTTCTGACATAGGCATACGCTTTCCCAGGGGGTCTAGATTTCCGCCCCAAGAAGTAGGATTTTCCTTCGTAATGTCTCTGAATGCAAAAATGTTTCACTAAGAACAGTGAAATCATTCTCTTCTAGGGTGCTGCTTACCCACACTGATTTTATTTTCATAAAGGTTGAGTATCCTTTATCCAAAATGCTTGGGATCAGAAGTGTTTTGGATTTCACATTTTTTTTTTGGATTTTGGAATATGTGCATTATACTTAGTAGTTGAACATCTCTTATCTGAAAATCTAAAATCCTAAATGCTCCAATGAGCATTTCTGTTGTCATGACAGCACTCAAAAACTTTTGTAGCTCACTCAGGTTCAAGGATGGAAAAAAGAAAAGTTTTGGATTTCAAATTTTTCAGAGTAGGGATACTCAATTTATAACAGCTTTATTTTTTTTTGGATGGAGTCTCCCTCTGTTGCCCAGGCTGGAGCGCAGTGGCCCAATCTCTGCTCAATGCAACCTCCGGCTTCTGGGTTTAAGTGATTCTCCTGCGTCAGCCTCCTGAGTAGCTGGGACTACAGGTGGACGCCACCACGCCCAGGTTTTAGTAGTAGACAGGGTTTCACGGTATTGGCCAGACTGGTCTCGAACTCCTGAACTCAGGTGATCTACCTGCCTCAGCCTCCCAAAGTGCTGGGATTACAGGTGTGAACCACCACGCCTGGCCTGTAACAGCTTTTTGAAACGTAATTCACAGTACCATACAAGTCATCCATTTAAAGTATACCCATTAAAGTATACAATTCAGTAAGTTTTTAGTGTAAGAATTGTATACCTGGCAGGGTGCGGTGGCTCATGCCTGTAATTCCCAGCACTTTCGGAGGCCAAGGTGGGTGGATCACCCGAGGTCAGGAGTTCAAGACCAGCCTGGCCAACATAGCGAGACGCCGTCTCTACTAAAAACACAAAAATTAGCTGGACGTGGTGGTGGGCACCTGTAATCCCAGCTACTCGAGAGGCTGAGGCAGGTGAATCGCTTGAACCCAGGAGGTGGAGGTTGTGGTGAGCCAAGATCATGCCATTGCACCCCAGCCTGGGCAACAAGAGTGAAACTCCGTCTAAAAAAAAAATTGTATACCTATCATTAACAATTTGGAATATTTTCATTTCCCCAAAAGAAACCCACATAACCATTAGCAATCACTCCTCAGTTTCTACCAAACTTCCCAGACCTAGGCAACTAATCTACTTTCTGTCTCTGTACATTTGTCTATTCTGGACATCTCATATAAACAGCCATACAGTTGTTTGTAACTGGCTTCTTTCACTTAGCATCTGTTCACAGTTCATCCATATTGGAGCATGTATCAGTACTTCATTCCTTTTCATTGTTGAATAATACTCTGTTGTATAGACACACCACATTTTATCTATCCATTCATCAGCTTATGGACACTTGGGTATGTGGCTTCTGGGCTATGATGAATAATGCTGCTGTGAACACTCATGTACCAGTATTTGTGTGGATACAGGTCTTCATTTCTCTTGGAAATATACTCAGGACTGGACTATCAGGTACATGGTAACTCTATGAATAATCATTTGAGGAACTGCCAGATTGTTTTCCAAAGACTGTACCATTTTACATTTCTATAAGCACTGTATAAAAGTCCCCATTTTTTCCCACATCCTCAACACTTGTTAATGTCCATCTTTTTCATTTTAGCTATACTAGTGGATATGACGTGATACCTCATTGTGGTTTTGTGGTATCTTATTTCCATAATGACTAATAATGTTGTACATCTTTTTATATATATGCTATTTGCCCAACTGTATCAAATGCTAAGGGTTCTTTATATTGTTCTCCATACGAGTCCATTATCACACAAATATTTTCTCTCATTTTGTGGGCTGTTTTCCCTTTTGTAATAGTATTCTTGAAGAAAAAAGATTTAAATTTTGATGGCCAGGTGCGGTGGATCACACCTGTAATCCTAGCACTTTGGGAGGCTGAGGTGGGTGGATCATTTGAGCCCACGAGTTTGAGACCAGCCTGGGCAACACGGTAAAACCCCATCTCTACAAAAAACACAAAAATTAGCTGGGCATGGTGGCTCACTCCTGTAGTCCCAGATACTTTGGGGGCTGAGGCAGGAGCACTGCTTGAGCCCAGGAGTTCGAGACTGCAGCAACCAATGACTGCACCACTGCACTCCCACCCAGACAACAGAGTGAGACCCTCTGTCTCTTAAAAGAATTTTTTTTTTTTAAATAGGGACATTACCTTGGATTATCCGGGCAGACTTAATGTTACCACAAGTTTCTTTAAAAGTGAAACAGAGTGATACAACATGAGGACTCAACCCAGCCCACTGTTGCTGGCTGCCTTTGAAGATAGAGGAAGAGACTACAAGCCAAGGAATGTGGCAGGAGCTGAAAAAGGGTAGGAAATGCATTCTACCCTAGAGCTTTCAGAAAGGAAAACTGCTGTGCCAACTTAAGCCCAGTGAGAACCATGCAGGACTTCTAACCTACAAAACTATAAGATAACAAATTTGTCATGTTTTAAGCCACTAAGTCTGTGATGATTTACAACAGTAGCAGTAGAAAGCCAATAACGGATTCAGTCTTTTTACCATTAAGCATTGTGTTGGTTCCAAGTTTTTTGTAGATGAAAAGTTTCCTCACTAGTTTGAGGAAGTTCCTTTCTATTAAGTTTGTTGAGTATTTTTAACATGAAAGGCTGCTAGATTTTTTTTAACTGCTCTCACTCTGTGAATAATTGGTATTAATTCTTTTTTTTAATTTATTTTTTATTTTCATTTTTGAGATGGAGTCTTGCTCTGTCACCCAGGCTGGAGTGCAGTGGTGTGATCTCGACTCGAATACAGCAGTCTCTACCTCCCAGGTTCAAGCGATTCTCCTGTCTCAGCCTCCCGAGTAGCTGGGATTACAGGCATCCGCCACTATGCCTGGCTAATTTTTGTATTTTTTTTTTTAGTAGAGACAGGGTTTCACCATTTTGACCAGGTTGGTCTTGAAGTCCTAACCTCAAGTGCCTCGGCCTCCAAAGTGCTGGGATTATAGGCGTAGGCCACTGCACCTGACCGGTATTAATTCTTTAAATGTGAATCCATGTGGTCCTCAGCTTTTCTTTTTGGATAGTTTTGATTACTAATCAATCTCTTTGTGTCAGTTTTTGTTTGTTTGTTTTGAGACGGAGTCTTGCTCTGTCACCCAGGCTGGAGTGCTGTGGCACGATATCGGCTCACTGCAACTCCGCCTCCTGGGTTCAAGCGATTCTCCTGCCTCAGCCTCCAGAGTAGCAGGGATTATAGGCGCACACCACCATGCCTGGCTAATTTTTGTATTTTTAGTAGAGACGGGGTTTCGCCATGTTGACTAGACTGTTCGCAAACTCCCCTGACCTCGGGTGATCCACAAGCCTTGGCCTCCCAAAGTGCTGGGATTACAGGCGTGAGCCACTGTGCCTGGCCTAACTTTTTTTTTTTTTTGAGACAGAGTCTCGCTCTGTCGCCTGGGCTGGAGTGCAGTGGCATGACCTCGGCTCACTGCAACCTCCATCCCTGGTTCAAGCGACTCTCCTACCTCAGCCTTCCGAGTAGCTGGGACTACAGGTGTGTGCCACCACACCCAGCTAATTTTTGTATTTTAAGTAGAGACAGGGTTTCACCATGTTGGTTGGCCAGGATGGTCTCAATCTCTTGACCTCATGATCCGCCCGCCTTGGCCTCCCAAAGTGCTGGGATTAAAGGCATGAGCCACTGCACCCAGCCTTTTTTTTTTTTTTTTGAGACGGAGTCTCGCTCTGTTGCCCAGGCTGGAGTGCAGTGGCGTGATCTTGGCTCACTGCAAGCTCCGCCTCCCAGGTTCACACCATTCTCCTGCCTCAGTCTCCCGAGTAGCTGGGACTACAGGCGCCCGCCACCACGCCCGGAGAATTTATTTTTGTATTTTTAGTAGAGATGGGGTTTCACCATGTTAGCCAGGATGGTCTCAATCTCCTGATTTTGTGATCCACCCACCTCGGCCTCCCAAAGTGCTGCGACTACAGGCGTGAGCCACCGCACCCGGCCTTTTTTTTTTTTTTTTTTTTAAAGCAAATTATCCCAGACCCTGATTGAGTCAGTTTTGGTAGTTTTTTTTTTTCTTGGAATTTGTCCATTCCATCTAGATTATGTAAATGGCATACATTTGTTCATAATATTCCTTTATAATCTTTTATTTCTGTAAGGTCAATAGTAATATCCCTGCTTTTATTCTTGATTATAGTTAGTCTAGCTAAAGGCTTGTGAAATGTGGTTGATCTTTTCAAAGAACCTTTCGGTTTCACTGATTTTCTCTATCATTTTTCTATTCCAAACTACTTTTCTGAAATCTATTAAATCTATTTTTCCTCTGAAATCTATTAAAAGTGCAGAGAGTTAGTAAACTCACCTGATCCAAGAAATTTGTGAAGTTTATGAATCCAAGTTAGCCCAACACTATGTACACCAGCTTCATGAGTACAGTGATATCTTGAAGGACACTTGGGATCTGCAAATGGAATGATTAATGATACAAAGGTAGCCAGTGGATAACTAAAAAAATTTACCTCAAATTTGTTGGCTACTCCACATTAGCCTACAAACGCATTTGTTGATGGAAGGTTTTATAAAAGACTTTCATATTGTTAGGGGTTTTGAAATTTTAAAATTTGAATTCAAATTTCAAATATATTTTAAGTACAGATATACCTCAGAGATACTGTGGGTTTGGTTCCAGACCATTGCAATAAAGCGAATACAGAAATAAAGTGAGTCACACAAATCTTTTGGTCTCCCAGTACATAAGAACGTTATGTTTACACTATGCAGAAAGTTATGTTTATACTAGTAGGTACGCAATAGTGTTACGTCAAAAAATATGTACATACCTTAACCATTTTTTATTGCTAAAAAATGCTGACACAGAGACAGCACGTGCTGTTTGAAAAATGGTGCCGATAGACTTGCTTGATGCAGGGTTGCCACATCTTTCATTTGTTAAAAAAAAAAAAAAAAAGCACTGTGAACCACAATAAAATGAGGAGGTATGCCTATGTTTTAAAAAGTATAAAAAATGGCTGGGTGTGGTGGCTCACGTCTGTAATCCCAGCACTTTGGGAGGCCGAGGTGGGAGGATCACAAGGTCAGGAGTTCGAGACCAGCCTGATCAACATGGTGAAAACCCGTCTCTACTAAAATACAAAAATTAGCTGGCCGTGGTGGCATGCACCTGTGATCCCAGCTACTCGGGAGGCTGAGGCAGGAGAATCACTTGAACCCGGGAGGTGGAGGTTGCAGTGAGCCGAGATTGCGCCACTGCAATCCAGCGTGGGCGAGAGTGAAACTCCGTCTCAAAAAAAAAAAAAAAAAAAAAAAACTCAATCCAAATGTTATTTTCTAAATATGAACACAATGAGGTTCACCAAAACATAAATACTTGCTGGCAAGTAACTCATTTATGCTTTTCTCTGTGCATTTATTTAGTTCTTCAAAAGAAAATGGTGGTTAAAATAGCAGCTCTGTAGAAAACCTATGCTTATGCTTGCATACATCGACTTAAATAAAATTGTTGAAGCAAATGCACTTCTACAGCATAGTTATCACAAAAGACTTTAACACAACGGCTCAGGGAACAGTTCTATCAGTGTAGTAAGGTGTGAAATGAGAAGTGAAGTTTCGTATGTCTTCATAATGTTGACTTACAGATAGTTTCAAAGGTTATTTTCAGTTTTGGATGCTCTTTTTGTTTGACAATCATTTATAACTAAGAAGTATGAGTAGTTGTTATACAATTTTAATTAACTGATTTTGAAACAAAAATTTCTGTACCTCCTTTGAGCCCCAGTATCAGTAAGACAATCCTGAGACTAAAAGATAAACTACTGAATACCTATTATTATGTATAAATATTTATCTCTGTAACTCAATATTTTTATTATTAATATTAATAATAATCTTATTGGCCGGGTGTGGTGGCTCACGCCTGTAATCCCAGCCCTTTGGGAGGCCAAGGTGGGCGGATCACCTCAGGCCAGGAGTTCAAGACCAACCTGACCAACATGGAGAAACCCCGTCTCTACTAAAAATACAAAATTAGCCAGGCGTGGCGGCACATGCCTGCAATCCCAGCTACTCGGGAGGCTGAGGCAGAAGAATCGCTCGAACCTGGGAGGTGGAGGTTGCGGTGAGCCGAGTTGTACCACTGCACTCCAGCCTGGGCAACAAGAGCGAAACTCCGTCTCAAAAAAAAACACAAAATAATAATGTTATTAAACTAAAACAAAATACAGAGATAAGGTATATATTAAAGCTGATAAAATGGCAACAATAACCCATAAAACCCCTAAATTAAATTTTCCTTTAATCTAACAGTCTCACTTTGTGGTTAGTGACTTTATCATAAATTAATATTCTAAAGCTGATATATTATTTTTCTGTCTTATATATTGAGGTTCCATAAAACATCTTAGAAAACAGCATTCTGCTATAAAAAGTTTAAAAAACCCTCATCTATGGGAATCATCTGTTTGCATAATTAAAATATTGAAAATTTTCTTTTCATTTGCGTATGTTTTAAGACTTAAGGCTCAAATCATCTCATTAAATCTAACATTGTTAAAATGGCTTTTCAAAACCTGTAGTGCTAACATCAACAGAAAAGTCTTAACACTGGGGTGTAAAACAAATTGATTACTAAAAAGAGCCAACATTTACTTAACAGGAAATTTGTTAGATACCACCCTATGCTATACTGTAGCCATTTCACTTTGTCACTAAGAAATCTGGTGTGCCTCAGTGATTATAATATGCCTTGTTCAGCACAATTAGGAACAAGTCAAAAATTTCTTAGTTTCACATATGAAAATGTTACTCTCATTAGAAGAACCAAGAAAAGGCTGGGCATGGTGGTTTATGCCTAAAATCCCAGCACTGTGGGAGGCCAAGGTGGACAGATAAGGAGTTCGAGACCAGCCTGACCAACATGGTGAAACCCCATCTGTACTAAAAATACAAAAATTAGCCAGGCCTGGTGGCGCATGACTATAATCCCAGCTATTTGGGAGGCTGAGGCAGGAGAATCGCTTGAACCCAGGGGGCGGAGGTTGAAGTGAGCCAAGATCGTGCCATTGCACTCCAGCTTGGGCAACAGGAGCAAAACTCCATCTCAAAAAAAAAAACAAAAAACAAAATACAAAAAACAAAACCCAAGAACAAAACGTCCACGTCTACACTTAAGATTTCCCAAAGATATACGTATCTATATGAGGAAACCAATTAGTTTATGTCACTTTACTTCATTTGGTCTGTTTCCTCATCTATAAAATTCTTAGACAATATAAATCTCAAAATACCTTAATTAGACAAACCCAATGTACACTCTTTGCTGGTTTGTTATGTAAGGAATTCTGCCCCCTTAAATGTTTTGCCTATACTTTAGTACAGAGTTGAGGCCGTTATTACCAGAACTAGGCAAACTGGCTAACAAGAACTGTAAGGAGAGTAGGTCAAACTGCTACAAGATTGAAATCCTCCTATGTTGCAGTGAATGACACGATTTCATTCTTTTTTAAAGCCAAATAGGGCTGGGCATGGTGGTTCACACCTGTGGACCAGCACTTTGAGAGGCTGAGGCAGAAGGATCACTGGAGCTCAGGACTTTCAGCTTGGACGACATGGCAAAATCCCGTATCTACCAAAAATACAAAAATTAGGCGTGGTGGTGCACACCTGTAGTCCCAGCTACTCCAGAGGCTGAGGTGAGAGGATTGCTTGAGCCTGGGAGGCAAAGCAGTGAGCCAAGATCACGCCACTGTACTCCAGCCTAGATGACACAGTGAGATCATATCACACACACACACACAAAAGCCAAATGGTATTCCACTGTGTATACAATGCCACATTTTAAAAATCCATTTGGGGCCAGGTGCGCGGTGGCTCACATCTGTTATCCCAGTACTTCTGGAAGGCCGAGGCAGGTGGACTGCTTGAGGCCAGGAGTTTGAGACCAGCCTGGCCAACATGGTGAAATCCCACCTCTACTAAAAATACAAAAATTGCCAGGCGTAGTGGCTCACGCCTGGAATCCCAGCACTTTGTGAGGTCGAGGTGGGCGGATCACAAGGTCAGGAGTTCGATACCAGCCTGGCCAATATGGTGAGACCCCCGTCTCTACTAAAAATACAAAAATTAGCAGGGCGTGGTGGCACATGCCTGTAGTCCCAGCTACTAGGGAGGCTGAGGCAGAAGAATTGCTTGAACCCAGGAGGCGGAGGTTGCAGTGAGCTGAGATGGTGCCACTGCACTTCAGCCTGGGCAACAGAGCGAGACTCCATCTCAAAATAAATGAATAAATGAAATAAAAATATAAAAATTAGCCAGGCATGGTGGTGGGTACCTGCAATCCAGCTACTTGGGAGGCTGAGGCAAAATAATCGCTTGAACCTGGGAGATGGAGGTTGCAGTGAGTCGAGATTGCGCCATTAGACTCCAGCCTGGGTGACAGAGCCAGACACCATCTCAACAACAACAACAACAACAACAAAATCCATTTGGTCTGTCGATGGACACAGGTTGATTCAGCATCTTAGCTGTTGTGAATAACACTGCAATGGGCATGGGAGTGTAGGTATCCCTTCAACCTATTATTTCCTTTCCTTTTGACATACCCAGTAGTGGAACTACTGAATAACATGGTAGTTCTACTTTTGAAAGGACCAGGAAAAATTCACTATTAGGAATCTGGTGATCTGGACCAAAGACCACTATTTTAAAACTTGGGAAATTTGCTCAGTCTGCCTTAGACAAAAAGTGTACTATAGTGACTAAAAAGCTAAAAAAAACCCAGTCAACTTTTTAAAGGCTGGAACCACAGAACAAATACATTACATAGGAACAGTCTATGATAGTCTTAGTATAAAAATCATGGGAAAAAAGCACTACATTTATTGAAGAGCTTACCTCTATGAAGTTTGACTGGACAAGAAAAGTCAGAATCAAAAGGGTCATCCTCTCCAGATGCCAGTTTCAAAGCAAGCTCCAACTCAACACATTCAAACACATACAGAGAAGGAATGAGGTCAATCCTGGAATCCCAGGACTTTTCTGACTGTAAAAAAAAGTGTTGTAATTTTGATCTTGCATGTTAATTTGAAAATGTACACAATTAAAAACAGGCAAAAAGCTGGGTCAGGGCCGGGTGCGGCTGTTCTTGCCTGTAATCCCAGCACTTTGGGAGGCCGAGGCAGGTGGATCATCTGAGGTCAGGAGTTCGAGACCAGCCTGGCCAACATACTGAAACCCTGTCTCTACTAAAAGTACAAGAAATCAGCCGGGCGTGGTGGTGGGTGCCTGTAATCCCAGCTACTGGGGAGGCTGACGCAAGAGAATCGCTTGAACTCAGGAGGCAGAGGTTGCAGTGAGCCGAGATCACACCATTGCACTCCAGCCTGGGCACCAAGAGCGAAACTCTGTCTCCAAAAAATAATAATAAAAAATAAATAAAAAAATTGAAAAAAAAGCTGGGTCAAACAGTACTTTCAAATTCTTAATTCCACCTCTATCCTAACAGTGCACTGTTATTCTGAAGACAAAACGTCTCTCTTCCTTTAGGAAGATGTTTGTGAAAAAAGCCAATTCAGTGATTCCAAGGCTCTTTGTATCTGTCCCTGAAGATTGCAATATAGAGACCAGAAAGTAACATGCAGACTGGTGGACCAAGTAAGTTGGGCAACCTTCTAACTTCTTTCCACTTAGACTGCTAAGTGTGCTTCAGCTACTTTTTTAACTGTTTAATTTCCAAAATATCAGAAGTTCCATAAGTAAGTTAAAATTCCTTCTCATATATTAAGCATTCATATTGGGTCAGGAACTATGCCAGGTGTTGAAGATACAAACAACCACAGCAGCCTGCACTTACCGTGTGGTCATCTTCTTCTTCCCCTTCTAGCACGACACAGTGATACAGCATTCCTGATTCAGTAGCGATCACTAAGATATTGGGGACACAGGGTAAGCAGAGTACAGCACACGCATCATAACCATAGTTATCTTCAGCCGCAGGATGCATGGGCAATGGACCCAACAGCTTTCCAATATTTCCAGGGCTAAAGAAGGAGTAAAAACATATTTGGGAAATGTTGACAGTATGCATGCTCATCCCATAAAACCATTCTTTGACTTTGTTTTCCTCCAGCTATCATACCTTCATTATAAATGTAGTGTATTCCCAATACTCCATCTTCTCGCTTTCCCACTCAGATCCCACCACTCTGTGTTTCTCAACCAGAGATAATTTTGCCCTAGCGGACAGTGGCAATGTCTGAAGACATTTTGGCTTGTCACAACTGGTTGTCACAATGTGGGGGGAGGTATTAGCATCTAGTGGTTAGAGGCTAGACAGAAGCCGCTAAACATTCCCGCACAGCACAGCACCTCTAAAACAAACAATAATTCAGACCAAAATGTCAATAGTACAAAGGTTGAAAACCCTTGCCCTAAATTTACTATGGTTTATGCTTTCACCACTCCACTGAAGCTACTGTGGCAAAGGTCACCTGTGAGATTTGCTAAATCCAAAATGCACTTAACCTTCTGCTGCATTTATCACTGGTTAACGACTACTGCTACTCAACAGCTGTAACAATTCTTTCTTGTAGTTCTCTCTTCCTACCTCTTTAAACACAATTTTCTAACGTCCTTTTCTAATTTCTGTCTCTTAAATATTGGTGTTCTCCAGGATTCTGTTGTATGCTTTGACTTTTTTCAAAATACACACTTAAATGAGAGCCTGTTAAACTATGCCTCGTTTTAACTACCATCTATATTCAAAGACTACCAAATCCTTTCTTCTAAAATGTAGCTTCTCTTCAAGGCTTTGGATCCCCATATTAAATTTGATTTGACAAATACTTATTATTGAGTGCTAGATGATACTCCCAGTGAATGATGGTTTAGTTGATGAGGCAGACATTTAACCAGAATTACTATACCATGTGATAAGTGCAACAACAGAAGGATTTATGGTGTACAAAGGAATGACAAAAAGATACAAAGATAATGAAGAAAGCTATAAAAAATAAATGAGAAAAATGAGAAAGAATGATTTCTGGGAAGGGGATTGTTGAGCATTCCAAGCTAGAGATCAGTTTATGCAAAGTCCTGGAAACATGAAAGACAAAGAACTAAGAACAAGAAAACTTATTTAGTATGATGGGAGGCAAAGTACAAGGTGGAAGGCAACGGCAAAATAGCTAGACAGACATCCAGGACTGGCTTATGAAGTACACAGTCTTGTGTGCTATGTTAAACTATTTGAAATCTATCTGCCGGGTAACAGTATATCACTAGAGGTTTAAATCAAGCGATGGAGCCTCACTTTACAAATCAGTCTGGTATTAGGGAGGAAGACATGGAAGGGTCCAAAATGGGATTTGGGGAAACTATTTAAGAAAATAAGCCAGGCAGATGGTGAAGTAGGCAGATGATGCAGTTCTGAAGCAGGGACAGAGGAATGCAGAGAAGGGTGTATAATCAGGGGTGTCCAATCTTTTGGCTTCCCTGGGCCACACTGGAACAATTGTTTTGGGCCACACAGAAAATACACTAACAATACGTGATGAGCTTTAAAAAAAAAAGAAAAGAAAAGAAAATCGCAAACAAATATCATAATGTTCTAAGAAAGTTTACAAATTTGCGTTGGGCTGCATTCAAGGCTGTCCTGGGCTGCGCGCAGCCCGTGGGTTGGACAAGCTTGGTGTATACTTTCGAAAAATTTAAATCACAAAATCAATAGAAATTTGGGACTGATGAAATGTAAGGATGAAGAAAACTTTTGGGTTTTGGGCTAACGTTACTAGGCAGATCATGGTTTGGACAAATGAGGGCTCAGCAGCAAGAGGAGAAAGGGTAAGGGAAGGTACTAAAGTTACCACAAAATCCTCCTGAGATCATGTGTGAAAGGCAGAGAACATTTCTGCCAAGGAGAATGCACTCAACAGTGAATCCTCACCATTCTGTAACCTACCGAGCTCTTTCATCTTTCTAATCTTTATGGTTTTGCGTACTCTCTTCTCTCTCCTGTACCCACTTCTGATTCTGTCTAGTGAATCCTTCAAGTTCAAGCTTTTGTAATAGCATTTCCTTAAAGTCTTCCAAGATGAGCAGGCCTACTCATTTACTCCATCACACTCCTGAAGAACCCGGTGATGCCCTGAGCACATGACACTGTACTATAGTTACTGGTTTAGTTGTATGCCCTTCTGGTAGTTAAGGAACCACATGGCAGGAACCTTGCCTTCAATCTTGTATTTCCATCTTCTGCCAGAGTGGGTCCTGAATAAGTATCTGTTAAGTCGATTTACAAGCGAATAAACTCTAATGCTCAGCCCTTAGCCTTATGCCTCTGCAGTTTTCCCTCAAATTCTTATCCTGTATAGACTCTCTCACCATGAAAGATGATTCTCATACCTCTATTTTAATTCTTCTTGTCTGTCATCATCCTGTATTTCCAACTGTCCATGGAATATTTCCATTTTATTGGTCCAATACTATCTTACACTGATTTACTTAGAAATAAATCTTCTCCCCCAATTAGCAGCCTTTACTGACCTGTTTCTGTTCATGGCATACTCCCTTATCCAAACAGTAACTAAGTCTTATTTATCCTTCCTTTGTTGTTATCTACTGTGTTTCATTTTTCCCTCTGTTCTATTACCACCCAAGTTCAAACTCTCATAAATGACAAGCTCAATTTTGCAAAAGCTTCTTTAAAAGTCTCTGTCCCAGTCCCCTCCCTAACCAATTGTTTTGTCCTTCTGTTCAGAAACCATCACTGGCTTCCTACTACCCTATTCCTACAGAAAAAAAACCCACACTCACTCTTTTAACGAGGTATTTTTAATTCCAGCAAATTTTCTCGGGACAGATACTCCAGCTTTATCACTTAATGCTCCCTACATGAATCCTCAGCTCTAGCCCAGAATGTCTAATAAATTAAGCTTGAATGACACTTGCACTTGCTTATTTTCAGACGCTACTTTATGCTGCCCTTGACAGAAATGGTCTCACTCTTCCTTGATACTTCATTTAATCCTGAATGAGACCTTTAAGTCACACATGACACCACTCCTTCTCTACGAAAATTTCCTTAACCTCCCAGTCAGAATGATCTCTCCTTCCTCGGGGTTCTTACTGTCTGTGTACCAATACTGTGGTATGGATAGTATTTTTTCATGTGTATGTATCTTTCTCCCCACAACTGGGACATAAGATACCAGATTACCACGCCTACGTGGTGTCTTGTTCATATAAGATAAACAATAAGCACTTGTTCGGATAACTAGAATTTGTGAACACAAATCCAGGCCTATCATAAGTGATTATCCAAGAATTCTATAGAACTTACCCAAATAATATGAAGAAATGAAAGGCCAAATGACCTGTACTAACTCTTTCTCAAAAATATGCAAGCCAAGCATGTGAAGGCTGCAACATTTCCACAGACTCAAAAACATGGCTCCCAAGTCCAGCCTCAATGATATCTACTGGAGCCCAAACTGAGTTTTCATTTCAGGTGGGTGACCACCTCAACTTACCTGTGTAACAGACTGATGTATGTCAGGAAAGTCTCTCCATTTTCATATAAGATGTACAGTGGGTATGCCACTACTTCATCTTTGCCGTTTTGTCCAAATAGAGTCTTTGGGACTGCTGCCAATGGCCCAAAGTCAAATGCAACTGCTGTCTCTCCTAGAGATGCGGTATACGCCCTTCTGGAAAGAGATGTAAAAACCAACTTGTTAAAAACAAAAACAACAAAAAGTAAAAAGAAAAACAAAACAAAACAAAAACACAAAATGTCTAATAACAGGAGGTGGGTATGTATGGAATTTGTAGGCAATGGACTGAAAAGACAAAAAATGATTATGAAGAATGTTAACATTTAAAAATTCTCAGCTGGGTGCAGTGGCTCATGCCTGTAATCCCAGCAATTTGGGAGGCCGAGGTGGGTGGATCACCTGAGGTCAGGAGTTCGAGACCAGCCTGGCCAACATGGTGAAACCCCGTTTCTACTAAAAATACAAAAATTAGTTGGGCGTGGTGGCAGGTGCCTGTAGTCCCAGCTACTTGGGAGGCTAAGGCAGGAGAATTGCTTGAACCTGGGAGGCGGAGGTTGCAGTGAGCCGAGATTGTGCCATTGCACTCCAGCCTGGGCGACAAGAGCGAAACTCCGTCTCAAAAAAAAAAAAAAAAAAAAAATTCTCATGAAATTAAGTGAAAAAAGCTGGCCATAAAATTATTTGGTTCTACTCTCATCTTAAATAGTTTAAATACACAGATATACAAATAGCAAAAATTTATTATATACACACACATAAATGCAAAAAGGAAACAGGAAAACACATGAAAACATCAACAGTTGTCTCTGAGCAGCAGGATCCGTAAGTTCTACAAATACTCGCAAAGCACCTACTCTGTGCCAGGTACTTTTCTAGGGTCTGGGAATATGTCAGTGAATTAAACAAATGTCCTGCCCTCTAGAGAGAGAAATACCACAAAAAGAGAAGAAATAAAGATGGAACATAAACTCAGAAAATATCATGAAAAATAAAGTAGGGTAAGAGGGTATTGATGGAGGTGCTACTTTAGACTACTTGGTATAGGAAAGACTCTGATAAGATATTTGAGCAAAGATCTGAAGGAAGTAAGAGAGCAAGTCTGTGGTTAACTAGGGAAGGAGCAGTTGAGGTGGAGAGCAAATGCTCTAAGGTAGAAGTGCTTAATGTCTGTGGAATGGCAAGGAGGCCAAGGTGCCTGGAGCCCAGAGAGCCAGGGCACAGAGGGAGGAATGAAGCTGGAAAGGCAATCAGGTGGCATACCTGTGGACCCTTTATAGGTAAAGACTCTGGGAAATCAATGGGGTATGGAGAGCAGGGAAGTAGAATGATCTGATTAAACTGATCTGATTAAACTTAGATTAAAGTAGAATGATGTGATTAAACTTTGGGTGCTGTATTGAAACAGGCTATAGCTATAGGAGATTACAAAGATTTTCATTTTCTTCCTAATACTTTGATCTATTTTTCTCAATTTTCTACAGCAAATATACATTACATGTATATCAAGAAGGCAAATCATAAAACCATGCTGTTTTTATATTTAAAATTTACTGTAGTTATTCAGGAAGATTCTAGTTCAATACAAAGTTAACAAATATGGTTAAAATGAAATCACAATTTCATATAGTTGAGAGAGCAAACATCAATGCAAGATATTATCTTAGTTTCTTTATCACATAGAAAGGTGATAAAGAAATGAATGGTGGCTCAGGCCTGTAATTCCAGCACTTTGGGGAGGCTGAGACGAGCAGGATCACTTGAGCCTAGGAGTTCCAGACCAGCCTGGCCAACACGACGAATCCCTGTTCTACTAAAAATACACTTACTTCTCACATTACCAAAAGCATGCTAGTCACCTCTGAAAAACCTTGCAACCTGTTAAAATTGCATTTATAATCCCAATAAGCTAATTAAAAAACCATTTCAAGACTCAAATAAAAACTTACCCTTTATTGAGTACTAGACTTTCCTCTTCGGCTTCTGAAAGTATTATCACGTTAGTGGGTGTCTGCGGCTCACGTAGTGAGTAAATTCTAGCAACCAAAAGAGAAGAAAACCAGCACTTAAAATTCTGTTTTCATTTCCCAAAACTGCACTTTCCTCTCCATCTAGTCAGTTCTTGAGAATTTTCTAACACTTATCACAACTATTTCTTTGCAAAAATCTTGCTGTTGCAAAGTAGTCTAGTTCATTTATTCTTTAACTACATAAGGGAGTTTCATTGGGGCCTGAAGAAATGTTCTCTATCCTTACCAATACCCTTTAACAGCCTATTCCATAACATCGCACCTCTGTCACTTCCGTCCTGAGCCCTTAGCTATACTCGCCTTGTCCAGTCATCTCACTATTGCCCCTAAGCTTGCCAGTTTTCCTTCAACTACACACATCTATCTCTGCCTATTGGACACCAAATCCCACCAGAGAAAGAACTGTATCTTATTCTTTATATGCCAACTGGCTGACAGAGTGAGTGATATTTAGCCTGCAAATCTACTTATGTGTTTGTTATATAAAAACCCAATATTGGCCAAGCACGGTGGCTCACACCTGTAATCCTAGCACTTTGGGAGGCCGAGGTGAGCAGATCACTTGAGGTCAGGAGTTCGTGACCAGCCTGGCCAACATGATGAAACCCCGTCTCTACTAAAAATACAAAAATTATTTGGGTGTGGTGGCACACACCTGTAATCCCAGCTACTCGGGAGGCTGAGGCAGGAGAATCACTTGAACCTGGGAGGTGGAGGTTGCGGTGAGCTGGAGGCTGGAGTGAGCCAAGATCACGCCACTGCACTCCAGCCTGGGCGACAGAGCGAGACTCCATTTCAAAAAAAAAAAAAAAAACCAAACAAACAAACCCAGTATCGTATCATCTCTATTTTCAAGGGAAAGTATAATACTGAATTTTTTTAACCAAAATTATTTTAATTTAAAGTAACCTACATTTCACAGCATATAAGGCTATTGTGAAAAAGGGAATTTTCAAAAGGCCAGTAATGTCATTTTAGAAATCCAGTGTCCCTTATAATCACTTATTTTGTCTGACGCCACTAAGAATTTTTTAACTTGGTTTCTTCCAATATCAATAAAATGCCACATTAAGTATTTAATAAATTTTTAATGATAACTTGATCCATTTGAATACACATTTATTACAGTCTTCCTAGGTTCCTACAAGCGTTACTAACTTCAAAATACACATAAATACTAGGCAATAATGTTGTACTGGGGAACAGTGAAAGAAAAAGAAGGTGCAACAGGGCATTCGGTGAAAATTTCCTTTTGCTCTGAAACTGCCCAAAATCTCCAAAGCTTAGGAAAACAGAAGTGTTAAATACCACATATTTTAAAAAAGAACCTTCAATATTTGGGGCCAGATACTTCCTTTGGGGCTTAAGAACTGTACCTATGCTATCTTCCCACCATCTCCTTTTCCATCATAGCATATAAAAGGAAGACTAAGAAGAGAGGATGTCAAAGATTCCTTAGGAGTACAGTATAATGTTTGTAATGGGAAGATTTTCCCTCTCCTCTTTCTCTGCCCTGAACTCTAAAGCCAAATGGGTGGGCAGGGAAGGCTCTAGGAAACAGCCAGATGTGGAGGTACCTGTAATAAGGGAGACTGGTGCATTTCCTAGCTGAATGCCCCTTAGTCACTTAGTAGCTGTCTCAGTTATAAGATCGAAAAAACATAGCAATACACACGTATCACGTTCAGTACTATCTACAGTTTCAGGCATTCACTGGGGGGTCTTGGAACACACACCCTGCAGATAAAGTATACTGTACCCCATCTTGAGAGAAGATTCAGGGCATAGAGAACTGACAGGAGCCAATGGGAGCCAGAGCTCCTCAGTGATGGGGGGAGCTGGAAGTTCAACACTGCCCTCCAACACCACCCCACCCCCCCACATACACACACACAAACACACCATCTATGCAGAGACTACCACATCAACAGAGTTCACTAGTGACAGATGGAACGAGATTCAAACAAGATCAGGCATACTTCCCCATCACTCACAGGCTACCAGTTCGGTAAGATCTCTACCTCACCTGTCCCACTCCCCTACCCCACACTGAAGGAGTTAGATTTGGAGGAAGGAGGGGGCAGCCCATTCCTTACACTTCACCCTATGTTCCAAAGTGCTGGGATAACAGGAAGAGTGAAAGAGCAGACCGCACACTCTCCAATCACTTCTGATCCCACAAAACACAGGTCTGACCTACAAAAGGGCCAGGACATAGTTGTGAAAGATTTGAGATCAAATAGCTTTCGACATTCTTATTTTCTTTAGACAGGGTTTTACTCTGTCACCCAGGCTGCAATCTTCCTACCTCAGTCTCCTGAGTAGCTGGGACTACCGGCACATGCCATTATGCCCAGCTAATTTTTTTTGCAGAGACAGGATCTCACTGTATTGCCCACATTGGTCTCGAACTCAGGGGCTCAAATGATCCTCCCACCTCGGCCTCCCAAAGTGCTGGGATTACAGGTGTGAGCCACTGCAACCAGCCAAGATGAGTTTTAAACTGGACACACTGTTTTCATAACTAGAAGTAACGAGAAAGCTATGGGGATCTGTATAAGACATCATTAAGGGGTGAGTCATTCAGCAGTGAAGGAAGATTTAGTAGAGCACAGTTAAAAGCAGTGATTACGAAAAATAAAACTGAAGGTATCTGTACCTCTGCTGAGTCCCCCCAATAACTTTTTACATAAGGCCGATCCAGAAAGTTAGCTGATAATAGAGTAGAAATCTACGTAGCATTAGGGCATTTAATCATAGAGTGCAAAGCTTGGAAGGGGCGTTAGAAACTATTGAATCAAACCTGCTCAATTTAAAAGATTGGAAACTGAGCCCCCCAACCCCTAAAAAGCTCAAGATCTCAAAGATAACAGAAAAGGAGGTGGGACAATAATTCAAATCTCTAAATTTACACTTACATTCTCTTTCCTTTATGCTACATTATTACCAAAAGGGTGACAATGATGAAAGAGTTTTGGAAAGATTATTCTAAGGTGTCAGATTAGGAGAGGAGATACCTGGAGGCAGGAAGACTAGTTGAGAAGGAATAGTGGTAAGTTAGAGCAGTTAGGCAATTCTTATGATTGAGAATGGGTTACAACAGCCATCCAATAAAAGCACTGACTCATTCAATGACTCACTTCGTTCTATGTTGAGCTGTTAATTGGCAAACAGAAACAGAGCTTTCCCACTCGCAAGGCTTCAAGAGAGAGAAATAAAATTTACCTGATTACGTTGTCTGATGTTAACAGCACTACGTGGGGATCCAGGATTTCACTTGGATACCATGCAGCATGCTTTAGAGTCAGAGAGGTGGAACTGGTGAAAAATCTCTCCGCAACTGGAGTGGTACTAAAATAAAGATAATAATTTTCCAAAACATTTTGTACAACTTGGATGAAAATCTTCTAAAGGAACTTCTTTTTTTTGCAGATGGAGTTTCTCTCTTGTTGCCCAGGCTGGAGTGTAACGGCACAATCTCGGCTCACTGCAACCTCCGCCTCCCAGGTTCAAGTGATTCTCCTGCCTCAGTCTTTCAAGTAGCTGGGATTACAGGCACCTGCCACCTCGCCCAGCGAACTTTGTATTTTCAGTAGAGAGGGGGTTTCTCCATGTTGGTCAGGCTGGTCTCAAACTCCCGACCTCAGGTGATCTGCCCACCTCGGCCTCGCAAAGTGCTGGGATTACAGGCATGAGCCACCACGCCAGGCCCTGAAGAAATTTCTATTTTAACACTCTTTGATTCTCTTTCCTTCAGATTTATTTCCCTGAAATCATGCTGAGAGGACATTCAAGGCATCTATTCAATCAATATCAAAGAATTGAAATAAAAATATCTTCTAAATTATAGCACACTGGCTGGGCGCAATGGCTCACGCCTATCTTAGCACTTTGGGAGGCCAAGGCAGGTGGATCACCTGAGGTCAGGAGTTTGAGACCAGCCTGGCCAACATGGTAAAACCCCGTCTCCACTAAAAATACAAGAATTAGGCAAGTGTGGTGGCACATGCCTGTAACCCGTTACCCGTGAGGCTGAGGCAGAAGAATCGCTGGAACCCAGGAGGTGGAGGCTGCAGTGAGCTGAGCTTGTGCCACTGCACTCCAGCCCGGGCTGAGGAGGTTGCAGTGAGCTGAGATCACGCCACTGCACTCCAGCTTGGGCTACAGAGCCAGACTCTGTCTCAAAATAAATAAATAATTTATTTATTTTAATAATTTAAATTATTTATTTAAATTTTATTTGTTTATTTATTTGAGATGAAGTCTCACTCTGTGGCCCAAGCTGGAGTGCAGTGGCGTGATCTTTGCTCACTGCAACCTCCGCCTCCTGGATTTAATCAATACTTGTGCCTTAACCTCCTGAGTAGCTGGGACTACAGGCGTGTGCCACCACACCCCACTTATTTTTTGTATTTTAGTAGAAATGAGGTTTCACCATGTTGCCCAGGGTGGTCTCAAGCTCCTGAGCTCAGGTGATCCACCTGCCTCGGCCTCCCAAAGTGCTGGGATTACAGGTGTGAGCCATCGTGCCTGGCTCCAAATTATAGCATATTTCATACGTATATATACATTTTAGGATGGTTTGACTTAGGATTGATACATATTTATACAGTACAAGTGTTTTCAGATATAGTATCTCATTTGATCTTTTTACTAACCCTGTAAGGAAATTACAAGGGCAGATATTATCAATCCTATTTTTAAAATGAGGAAACAGATTTAGAAGGTAAACAGTTTAAGGGGACTCAACTTATAAGTTGCGGAGCTAAAAGCAGTTTCTACCTTATACAGATGATCCCCAACTTTACAATGGGTTTACCAGTACATAAGCCAACATAAACTGAGGAGCTCCTTACGACTTATGATGGGGTTACCCATCATAATGTTGAAAAATCCTACGTTGAACCATCCTAAATCGGGGATCCTCTGCTGTGTTGTCAGCAATAAATCCATTTTCAACTTACACTGGGTTTATCGGGACATAACCCAATCGTAAGTTGAAAAGCATCTGTACTCTTTTCAGTAGATCTTTCAGATTCACTTTTCTGGATTTGTTGAAAAAGAAATTATATAAAAATAGGCCAGGTGCGGTGGCTCACACCTATAACCCCGGCACTTTGGGAGGCTAAGGTGGGTGGATCACTTGAGGTCAGGAGTTCAAGACCAGCTTGGTCAACATGGTGAAACCCCGTCTCTACTAAAAATACAAAAATTAGCTGGGCATGGTAGCGCTTGCCTGTAATCCCAGTTACTCGGGAGGCTGAGGCAGAAGAATCGCTTGAATCCAGGAGGCGGAGCTTGCAGTGAGCCGAGATTGTGCCACTGCACTCCAGCCTGGGTGACAGAGCAAGACTCCATCTCAAAAAAAAAAAAAAAAAAAAAAGTATATATATATATACACACATACACACACACACACACACATAAAATACTTACACTTCTGGCAAACTTCTGGCTGACAGATAACTGGTTTTACAAAATCTTACTTCTACCTAATCGAAAGAATGGCCTAGCCTCAAATGAGACAGCAACGTGGTACTTCAGGCAGAATAAAGTACAATCAATTACACATATACTATGAACATTGATAACACAGAAGCCAGTCTGCAGACCACGAGGAGTGTTTTAATGTTTTAAGAGTAGTATACTAAACATGCTTAAGAACCACTAGTCTTGAACAATTTTCTGTATATATAATAAATTATACAGATAAATAGTATACAACTTACCTACAATTCACTGTTGATTTTCCACCTTCAAATTCAGAATTCTTCCCCCATCTTTTAGGTAATTCTAATACCATAAGTCCTTTTATTCCTATAAGTGCTACATGATGTTGTGTTGGGCTTAACAAGACTTGATAGATTTCAAACAGGGGTGGATTTATGCAAAGCAATCTCTGAAAATTAGAGCAAACCAGTCAACATAGTTAATTTTAATTTAAATATAGGTGGCAGTTACTTGAAATCACAGTAATACTTAGTTTACTACAATTATAGGATAATAAAACTCTGGATAAGTACTCACACTTGTACCATTAACTCACAAATTTTTTTTTTTTTTTTTGAGACAGAGTCTTGCTGTCACCCAGGCTGGAGTGCAGTGGCAGCCCACTGCAGACTTTACTATGGGGGTTCAAGTGTCCTCCCCACCTCAGCTTCCAGAGGAGCTGGGACTACAGGTGTGCACCATCACTCCCAGCTAATTAAAAAGGTTTTTTTTGTAGAGATGGGGGTTTCGTCATGTTGCCCAGGCTGGTCTGAACACCTGTTCCCGTGCTCACAAGATCCACCTGCCTCCACCTTGGCCTCCTAAAGTGCTGATTATAGGCTACAGCTACCACACCCAGCTTACTCATGCTTGCTTTTAACATCCAAAGTTACAACTCATGATAAGCTGCTTTCTTCCCCATCTCTAAGGTTTTGAGATTTTGGAGGAGTGAAGGTTATTGAGATAGTCACCAATATTTACTGAAAGCTTATAAATTCTGGGCACTCCAGCATTTCTGTATGCTGGACATACAAAAATAAGTAAATAGCCAGGCGTGGTGGCACATGCCTGTAGTCCCAGCTACTTCCAGGCGCTGAGGTGGGAGGATCACTCGACCCCTGACAGTAGAGGCTCCAATGAGCCGTGATCACACCACTGCACTCCAGCCTGGGCAACAGAGAAAGACCCCATTTCAAAAATAAAAAATAAAATACGTTTTTAAAAAATGACAAGGGCAGACCCAGCCCCTGCCTTGGAGCTTACAGTCTAGAAAAGAAGACAGAGGCAGAGTGCCATGGCTCACGGCTGAAATGCCAGCACTTTGGGAGGCCAAGACGGGTGGATCACCTGAGGCCAGGAGTTCCAGATCAGCCTGGTTAACATGGTGAAACCCCGTCTCCACTAAAAATACAAAAAGTAGCCGGGTACGGTGGAGTGGGCCTGTAATCCCAACTACTCAAGAGGCTGAGGCAGGAGAATCGCTTGAATCCATGAGGTGGAGGTTGCAGTTAGCTGAGATTGCACCACTGCACTCCAGCCTGGGCAACAGAGCGAGATCCTGCCTCAAAACAAAACAAAACAAAAACAGCCGGGCGCAGTGGCTCACGCCTGTAATCCCAACACTTTGGGAGGCCAAAGCCAGCAGATCACGAGGTCAGGAGTTCAAGACCAGCCTGGCCAACATGGCGAAACCCCGTCTCTACTAAAAACACAAAAATTAGTCGGGCGTGGTGGCAGATACCTGTAATCCCAGCTACTCGCGGGGGGGGCTGAGGCAGAAGAATCGCTTGAAACTGGAAGGTGGAGGTTGCGGTGAGCCGAGATGGCGCCATTGCACTCCAGCCTGGGCAACAAGAGCGAAACTCCATCTCAAAAAAAAAAAAAAGACACAAAATAATTATAAATAATTAAGTTATGATTATGTCAAATGCTACACAGCAGTATAGAATGTTATTAGAATACTGCGTGCTGCACATTTGGTAATTATTATTATTTTTTGAGACACAGTCTTGCTCTGTTGCCCAGGCTGTAGTGCAGGGGCGTGATCTCAGCTCACTGCAACCTCCTCCTCCCAGGTTCAAGCGATTCTCCTGCCTCAGGCACCTGAGTAGCTGGGATTACAAGGGCGCGCCACTACACCTGGCTAATTTTTGTATTTTTAGTAGAGACGGGGTTTCACCATGTTGGCCAGGCTGGTCTCGAATTCCTGACTTCAGGTGATCCACCTGCCTCTGCCTCCCAGTGTTGGGACTGCAGGCGTGAGCCACCGCGCCCGGCCTTCATAATTCTTTTTAACTGAAATTGGGTAAATAAGTAGACTGTAGACTCCTGCCCTATTTTCAAAACTGCAGAAGCATTGCTAGCGTCTTATTAAAATTAAATCACTTCTCGGTAACAAGAATTGGACCGGGCACACAACAGATGTCATACCTTAGAATGAGTACCAAGCTCTTTTTCATCTTTAAGAGAATCTGTGTATTACAAATAAACATTTCCATAAACCAATATTTGACCACGGCAAGTGTGTAATACTTTCTGGATCACACCCATTTTCACATGCTGTCGGCTAATCAAAAACAAAAATCCCCATTTTGGGTATGGCTTTATTTTCTAAAGCGGGCGTTACGGGGGTAAGAATTAACAGAGACTTCCTCCTCCATGTCAAGCATGAAGCGTGGTGCTTTGAAACCTGCAACCTGACTTGCTGTGCACAACGCAAGAGAAAGTTACGATCTAACCTATTATAAGCGTCACATCAGGAAACAGGTTTCTCTCGACGAAACTAAAAATAGCAACTCCGCCCACTCGTTCTCAACCCCTTTAGCCCGCTTTGTTTTTCTCCAGAGCACTCATCCGTCACTAGTATTTTTATTGAATATTCAATGACCCTTTCCTTCCTCCCAGGCCTCCAGGCCGTAAGCATCGAGAGAGCCTGAGTCCCCGCGACCGCGTATGGCAGCGTCGGAGTCAATCCGCTGGAACGCCTGCCACAAGATGAAAAACAGCCAAGAGGAGCAAGGAACAAAAAAGACTGGTTCCGATCCCGGTGAGGGTCACTTCCAAGATCGGCCTGGCATTACCTGGTACTGGGACAGGGCGGGCTCTTCGCCGCCGCCGCTGGGGCCCCGAAGGCGAACGACTAAGAAGGAGCTGTCTTCTCCGTCCCACAGGAAAAGCTCTCCGCCGAGGCCAAAGACCACGTTTCTCGTCAGCAACTGCGGCGGCGGCGACGAAGGCAACGACGAAGAAGCTGGTTTCTCAGCTTCGGTTGGACTCTGGTTTTTCAGTCCCTCCCGGAGCCGCAAGAACACGACGTGGTTAGGAAGCCAGGTCTGCCACAGCTCGCCGTCGCCCACCGGTCCCTCGGCGGCCGCCATCTTGGCCCAACTGCTCCCCTCACTCCAGTTGCTCAGCCCGCCGCTGAGCACAGCCAATCCGCGGCCGTCCACTCACTGTTTCGGCCAATCACCGAGCAGACGGCCCGGAAGCTCGAGAGGCTCGTGCCAGGTCGGGGGGCGAAGGCGAGGCCAGCCCACCAAGCAGGGGCGTCACCAAGGGAAAGCCAATCACCATTATTTCTGAAGCCCAAGGGGGCGGGACGAGAAGTCAACATAATGGTGGTGCTGCTGGAAATCTAGCACCTGGGGAGAGCCTGAGACTTGTGTATCTAATTGCCTATTGGACACCTCCATCTGGGTAAACCCAGGCATCCAGAACTTTCCCTCAAGACTTACCTCCCTCAGTGCAGGTCGGGCTGGCCTCACGCATTTCGCTTGGATGCCTAAATCTGTCTCCACGTGGGGCCGGTCGATAAAACAACACTTCCCAGAATACGCTGCGATCCATTCGCGGTCTGCACCCGGAAAGTACACCTCCCAGGGGTCTGTGCGCGCCTCCAGGGAACGGGTCTTGTGGCTTTGTCTCCCGCGAAGAGGAGATGGCGGAGTCGTTGAGGTCTCCGCGCCGCTCCCTGTACAAACTGGTGGGCTCGCCGCCTTGGAAAGAGGCTTTCCGGCAGGTGGGTATGGGGTTTGTGCAGTGGTCTACCCTAGATCGTCCCGGTGACCGCCGTCTTCCCTGCCTTCGCCTTAGCCCTGCTCCGTGGAGCAGGTGCCGCAGCGCGCCTGGTCTGGTCAAACCCAGGCCTGCTGACTGTAGAGTGTGGGATTAGCCCGGGTCGGTCAAGTCCTAGAAAGCCTTGTTTTTGGATTCGATTTTGTTTTGAATTTAAATTGTGGTCAGGACATCACCGTTTGCACCTCTGCAATAACACTACCTACTGTTGCTGCGGAGGTGGCCACCGAGAGAGGCACTTTGTCTACGTTCGTCTTGTGAGATAGAGATGATTTCTATTCTAGAGAGTAGTAAAATGAGGCTTAGAAGAGGGCTCCACCTCAGTTCTGGCCTCTTCTGAACACAGTGTGGTTATTAGTAAGTAATGTCCAAGAAAGTAACCCGACGCAAGAAAGATAGCAGATACAGCAGAGTTTCTCAGCCTTGACAATGGACATTTTGAGGGAGATATTTATATGTTGTGGAGGGTTGTTTAAGCCACGTCTCGGGCCTCCACCCACTAGATGCTAATAGTCCTATAACTAGAATTGTGACAACCAGAAATGTCTCCAAGCATTGCCAAATGTTCCTTGGGGGACAAAACCTCCCTGAGTTCAGAAACGCTGCTGTGCAGGAAGGCCGTTACCCAGCCATATCTAGAGTAGCAAGAATTTGGAAGGAATATAAATGTTCTGTAATAGGACATTGGATGCTGAGATATTATGCACACAACCATTAAGGAAACTGGCAAGCTAGAATAAAAAATATGGTTCTTTGTAAATACGTGTACAAAGCATTGTAATTTTATGTATCTCTACAGAGGAATATGCAAAAGTAACACTAGTTAGTATTATCATTGAAATTTTGTGTCTATAAACTTTCTTTAATGTTTTCTCAACTAATGTAAGAGTGTTTTTTAAAAATAGAAATGCTTTTTTTTTCCCCCCCAATCTTGCTCTTTTTTCCCAGAGATGCCTGGAGAGAATGAGAAACAGCCGGGACAGGCTCCTAAACAGGTACCGCCAGGCTGGAAGCAGTGGGCCAGGGAATTCTCAGAACAGCTTTCTAGTTCAAGAGGTGATGGAAGAAGAGTGGAATGCTTTGCAGTCAGTGGAGAATTGTCCAGAAGACTTGGCTCAGGTCAGGCTGGGCTATGTGTTTTCAGGGAGGGGGACTGCACCACCAAGAACGGCTCGTGTCCTCTTTTATTTGTTTACTTGAGTCCTCTAAACCCACCATTCCCCTAACCCCATTTAGAATTCAACAGCCTTTAACCCAGGCTTTTCTACACTTAATGTTAGACTTGTCTAGATGAAATGGTCTGAAATACCAGACCGTAGACCTGCTCATCACTGCAACATCATCATTTATGAAACTAAAAAGAAAGAAATTTCATTTCTTGCCTCCACCCTTGGAAATTATGATTCAGTAGGCATAGGCTAGGAATCTCTTTCTCTCCCTCTCTCTCGCTCTTTTTTTTTTTCTGTCTTGCTCTGTCGCCCAGGCTGGAGTGCAGTGGCAAGATCTCGGCTCACTGCAACCTCCACCTCCTGGGTTCAAACGATTCTCCTGTCTCAGCCTCCCAAGTAGCTGGGATTACAGATGTGTGCCACCATGCCCGGCTAATTTTGTTTCTGTTTTAGCAGGGATGGGGTTTCACCATGTTGGCCAGGCTGGTCTTGAACGCCTGACCTCTAGTGATCTGCCCACGTCAGGAATCTCTTTCTAAAAAGGTCTCCAGAAACTTTCCGATTCTAATCTCAGCCAACGTTGGCAGCCATGTGTGGAAGGGAAAACCATTTATAGTGTATCAGGAAGAACACTGGATTCGAAGTCAGGAGTTCCAGAATTCAAATCCTGGTTTGGCTATTGACTGTTAACTTCAGTTTGCCTCTTTGAGGTTTAGTTTTCACATTTATAAAATGAGAAGATAATGTTTTCAGCATTGTAAGGACTGTGTAAGAAAATGTGGGCAACTGTTTGAAACCATCAACACCCTGTGTAATAATGATGCATTATTCAGTGGCTTTTGTGTGTCCTGCAGTACACCAATGTTTGCCTTATATCACCACAACTAGTACTCACAGTAACCCTCTTAGATAGATTTTATTCCCACTTTACAGAGGCCAAAACTGAGATTTGCAGAGATTAGGAACTTTTCATGTGGTTACGTAGCCTTGGAAGAATATGTACCTAACTGCTACCCTATATCGTCTCTCCAAAATTGGGTACCATTATTTTGTCACTGGATAGTTGGATCATTTGTTGATGGCTTGTCAGCATGACAGCATTACCCCACTGTCAGCATATTCTGCAGGAGGACTGGACTGATTTTGTCCAATAAATCTGGGTTCTTCAAGCCAGCCTCCAAGTATGAATCACTGTGGGGCTTGGTTGGTGATTAATACTTCAAACTTCTGATGCCGCTCCTTTCTCTTCCAGCTGGAGGAGCTGATAGACATGGCTGTGCTGGAGGAAATTCAACAGGAGCTGATCAACCAAGGTAACCCCTAGTGGTAGTCCTTCCTTACCTGTATTTAGCTACTGGAATACTGTGACCTTTCCTCCAATCAGGATTAGTTTATAAGTCCCCTTTGTCTACCTCCATCAGTCAAGTGTCCAAAAGACTCCTTTTGTACTCTGACATCTTGGCTGTCTAGCTTCTCAATAATAAGGGTCTCCAGGGTGCTAGACCTTGTGCTAAGAACTTCTCATTTAATGATGCTGTTTTCTCCATGTGACTGCCCTGTAAGATAGTAGTATTAGAACAGAAGGTGGTTGGTGTTCTCGTGCAGGTCATACAGCTAGTAAGTGGAGGAGATGGGAAGCAAAATCAGTTGTATGAATCCAGTTCCCATGTTTCTTCTACCATCCTGCCTCTCTATTAATGGGTTAATAGTTCACTGAGGGTGGTGGCTTATGCCTGTAATCCCAGCATTTTGAGAGGCTGAGGCAGGAGTATTGCTTGAGGCCAGTTCAAGACCAGCATGGGCAACATAACAAGATCCTGTCTCTACAGAAGTAAAAAAAAAAAAAAAAAAATTATCTGGGTGTGGTAGCAAATACTTGTAGCCTCCCTCAGCCAGAAGGCTTAGGCAGGAGGATCACTTGAACCCAAGAGTTTAAGGTTACAGTGAGCTATAATTTTACCACCTCACTCCAGCCTGGCTGACAGAGGGAGACCCTGTCACTTTAAAAAATAAAATAAAAAAAAGTAAACCTGCCATTTTACAGGATACAGTGATAGTGCATGGTCTGATCCCTTGCCCTATTCATTTTAAGTGCCACATTCTCTATTAACTCCCCAGGGCCTGTGAGCATCCACTCCTTGAGGGAGGTGTCCATAGCATGGTGTAGAGAGCATAATTTTGTACCTTATATAGTTAAGTCATTTATTCCATGTAGCCCTGATTTGATTAGGCCTTGTTTGGTTTTTGTTTTTGTTTTTTTTGAGACAGGGTCTCTGCCCAGGCTGGAATGCAGTGGCGTGATCACGGCCCACTGCAGCCTTGACCTCCTGGGCTTAAGCGATCTTCCCACCTCAGCCTTCTGAATAGCTGGGATCATAGGCGTGTGCCACCACCCCTGGCTAATTTTTTTTTATTAATTTTTTTTTTTTAGCTAAAGATGATAAAAACAAGACAAAAAATTATTTTATTTATGTATTTTTTTTTTTTTTGAGATAGGTTCTTGCTCTGTTGCCCAGGCTGGAGTGCAGTGATGTAATCATGGCTCACTGTGGCTTCATCCTCCTAGGCTCAACCAATCCTCTCATCTCAGCCTCCCGAGTAGCTGGGACCGCAAGTGTGCACCACCATACCGAGCTAATTTTTTTATTTTTTTGTAGAGACAGGGTCTCACTGTGTTGCCCAGGCTGGTCTCGAACTCCTCCCTGGTCTCAAGTGATCCCCCCACCTCAGCCTCCTAAAGTTTTGAGATTACAGGCATGAGCCAAAATGCCTAGCCTAATTTTTTAAATTTTTTTGTAGAGGCAGGGTCTCACTATGTTGCCTAGGCTGGTCTCAAACAGCTGGACTCAAACCATCCTCCTACTTCAGCCTCCCAAAGTGTTGGGATTACAGACATGAGGCATGGCCCCCAGCCTTAGGCTTCATTTTTATGACCTATAAAATGGAGAGAATACCCTATAAATTTGTTGTAAGGCTTAAATAACGTGTGTAGAAGACTTAGTGCATTGTCTGGCATATAGAGAGCTTTCAATAATCAACAGCTATTATTATGGTGAGGCAAGAGCACAAGCTCTTGAGTCATACCTCTAACATTCACTTGGCTTTACTACTTTAATTTGTGTGGCACCGACCAAAGCACTTAATTTCCCCGTGCCTCAGTTTCTTCACCTTTGAAATAAGGATAATAATAGTGAAGAAGTTAATATATGTAAGGAATTTAAAATAGCATTTGACACATAAGTGCCATGCAAGTGTTAGTTGTTAATGACTGTTGCTGTCGACTCTGGTTAGACTGTAAATTCCTTAAGTTATCATCTTTTTTTATTGATTTTCCCTTCCCCCACCTACAAAACCTATCTTAGTGGTGAAACATAAGCCTGACCAAATGTTTTATTTTGGGGCATACTTAACTAATAAGTCTGAAGTGACAAGGATTTACTGTGTTGTGCTGTACTCAGCCATAAGGAACATTCTAAAGCAGAAGTTGGCAGACTTTTTGTGAAGAGCCAGATAGCAAATACTTTAGACTTCACAGACCATGTGGTCTCTGGCACAATTTCTCAGCTCTGCAGTTCTAGTGGAAAAGCAGTTATAGACACTACATAAACAAATAAGCGTGACTGTAGTTTTTTGACCCCTTCCCTAATGTCTAGACTGTGAGCTCAACAATGACAGTCTTTTTCATCTTTGTGCCCCTGTGACTAGCAGATACTAGGTACTGTTGTATGTTTGCTGAATGAATGAGCACACAGATTCTGAACAACACAGATTCCAAGTATGTGGAATCAGCAGGGTCGTCCTGGCATCAGAAATCAGTTCTCTCTTTTTTTTTTTTTTGACACAGAGTCTCGCTCTGTCACTCAGGCTGGAGTGCAGTGGCGCAATCTCGGATCACTGCAACCTCCGCCTCCTGGGTTCAAGTGATTCTTCTGCCTCAGCCTCCCGAGTAGCTGGGATTATAGACGTGCGCCACATGCCTGGCTAATTTTTTGTGTTTGTTAGTAGAGATGGGTTTCACCATGTTGGCCAGGCTGGTTTCGAACTCCTGACCTCGAGTGATCTGCCTGCCTCAGCCTCCCAAAGTGTTGGGATTACAGGTGTGAGTCACCGTGCCCGGCCAGCAATCAGTTCTCTTTGTCAACTTTATTTAGTTGCCTGTGGGACCCTGACATTCTGTATCTGTGCTCCTATGGCCTCTGGAGATGTGTGTGAAAATTGTCTCCTCGGCCCTTAGCCTACTTCACCTCTTGTGCTCACAAAAAGGGGACAGAGAGGAGGGAGAGGAATCCAGCAAGATGAAGCCAGCCTGAGAGAGCATAAAAACCAGTCATTGGTATTGTGGTCTTGCCCAAATCTTTCCCTCGTGTGAAGGAAGCCTTTGACAGTGAAGTTTAGAATTAAATACAGGGCCAGCTGAAGCATGGTGAAGCCCTCCAACTGCCTTTGCCTTGCAGAGCAGTCCATCATCAGCGAGTATGAGAAGAGCTTGCAGTTTGATGAAAAGTGTCTCAGCATCATGCTGGCTGAGTGGGAGGCAAACCCACTCATCTGTCCTGTATGTACAAAGTAAGAGTTTTTAAAACCTTTTCAGCATTATTCGTTCCCATTCCCCACTCCAAGGTGAGTGGAATCTCCCCCCAGATTTGTTGCCTGAAATTCAAGGTTTGGAGATCCAGGTCTGGTGGCCATGATGCTCTGGGATCCTAATTCTGCTTCTAGGTACAACCTGAGAATCACAAGCGGTGTGGTGGTGTGTCAGTGTGGCCTGTCCATCCCATCTCATGTGAGTGTTCCACACACAGATTTCATGATACTTCTTCCCACATGGATCTACTTTCTTGAAGATCCTCCAGTGCTGACTTGGAGCCCATTGTGCATATTTCTTCCCAGTTTTATGTTCAGTGGTGTCACATTGGTAGCTTCAAATCAGCCATGGTGAGAATATCTATGGCATGAAAATTGGCAAACAGTACACATCAGAGCCTTTAGGGCCCTGGAGAGCCATCACCGCTTAACGTTTTTATGGAGACCTCAGCTTGGGATTGGTAACGCCTGTATCTGACGTTTCATAAAAATTTTCTATATATGAAGACATACCTAATTCAGAATTTAAGCTTCAGTAATTTTTTTTTTTTTTTTTTTGAGACGGAGTCTCACTCTGTTGCCCAGGCTGGAGTACAGTGGCGTGATTTAGGCTCACTGCAACCTCTGCCTTGCGGGTTCAAGTCATTCTCCTGCCTCAGCCTCCCAAGTAGCTGGGATTACAGGTGCCTGCCACCACGCCCGGCTAATTTTTTTTTTATTTTTAGTAGAGATGGGTTTTCACCATCTTGGCCAGGCTGGTCTCGAACTCCTGACTTCGTGATCCACCCACTTCAGCCTTCCAAAGTGCTGGGATTACAGGTGTGAGCCACCACGCCCGGCCTTCAGTAATCTTAAAATACAGAAAAAGCCCTTTTATCTGGCATGATGGGGACTGCAAGTTTGCCAGTTAATTGAGCGATTGGTTAAAGAGGCAAATTATAAAAATAAAATGTTTTATGGTAAGTTTCAAACACATAAATTTATTTGCCAGCCTTTGAGTGGGGCCCTGCTGATTGGAGAGCTGAGTCACCTGTTTTATTTTTTATTTTATTTGAGACAGAGTCTCACTCTGTCACCCAGGCTGGAGTGCAGTGGTGTGATCTCTGCTCACTGCAACCTCCACCTCCCGAGTTCAAGCGAATCTCCTGCCTCAGCCTCTTGAGTAGCTGGGATTACAGGCACGTGCCACCATGCCTGGCTAATTTTTGTATTTTTAGTAGAGACGGGGTTTCACCATGTTGGTCACGCTGGTCTCGAACTCCTGACTTCAGGTGATCTGCCCACCTTGGCCTCCCAAAGTGTTGGGATTACAAGCGTGAGCCACTGTGCCTCGCTGAGTCACCTTTTTTACATAAACAACTTCTATAATACATAGTCCAGAGTTTCCGGTTTTAATTCCATAAAGTGGATCAAGAAACTGAGTATACAACTTAGGAATTTTTCCTCCCCATCTTTTACCTAATTCTATAGCTCTTTTTCTTTCTTTCTTTTTTTTTTAAGCAGCTCATCTGTTTGTTTCCTAAACATTCTACTTATCACTATAAAAATAAAACTTATTATTTACATAATAAGTAATTAGCATTACTGAGTTACAGTAGGAAGTTCAAGTAACCCAAGCAGACCCGGGAGCATATACTGCTAGTTGTTGGTAAGGATGCACTCAGCTGGTGGGGGCAGAGGCAGAGGGAGGCTGGAAAGTAGCCTACAATCTCTGAGCGTTCTTCCTGCCATGAGTGGCCATCAGTGTGTTTGACAGCAGGAGTAGAGGGCGTTGGTTAATCTGGAGAGGCAGTTAAATGGAGATGGGTTAAGAGATCTTGGTACAGTCATGGGCCCGAGTGTCTTTAAGGCTCCAAGGAGTCAAGCCATCACAGTGAGCCACGGTTATATTGGTTGGCATGAGGAATGAGGATTTTCCATCTGTTGGCTATCAAGTCACTGAGAGGAGGTTGAACTTTTTTATTTTGTAGTCTTCTGAGTTGACAGAGCAGAAGCTTCGTGCCTGTTTAGAGGGTAGTATAAATGAGCACAGTGCACATTGTCCCCACACACCTGAATTTTCAGTCACTGGAGGAACAGAAGAAAAGTCCAGTCTTCTCATGAGCTGTCTGGTAAGCGTCTCCTGGGACCCACTCTGTGGTAAGAGGGACCTGTGGTTGGTTTTATTCCCACCTTGATAGAAATAATGACCTATAAACAGGTAAATGTTTAATGCAGTTTATTATCTGAGGAATTTACCTGCATAGAAAAGTGAAGGTAACAAGTCATTTAGACTCAAAGGCCAGTCAGAAAGAAGGGAAGAGGCAGCATGGGATCACGGCAAGAGGATTGGTCTGGGAGTTAGGACGCCTGGCTCCACACCTGCTCTTCTTTGATCAGTAGTAGTGGTTTTGGATTCAGCTGGTCATTTCATAGTCATAAGACCCAGATAGGCCATGCTGGCACCACTTTTGCGGAAGGAAACAGGGCAGAAGCATAGCAGGGCAGCATTAGGTTTGTCTGTCAGTGGAGTTTTTACAGAGGTCCAAGGGCTATTCGCTAACCTGAGTGACAACTGAGGTGTGAGGGCCAGGAACACAAGTGGGTAAGGGAACCACCTGTCTTAGAAGCGTGCTATAGGAACCAATATCTCTTATAATCCATGTCCTTTCCATATATGTGTATGTATGTATGTACATGTGTATATATATCACACAAACACACATAAAACCAATATGATACGTATTATTATTGCTTTTAGATCCCAGGCAGGGGGAGCCTTGGGATTAGGAGCACACTGTACTTCAGGAAGTTCATAGCCATGGCTTTCTACTGGGAATTTAGAATTCCTTCATGGCCCTGTCATTCCAAATGCAGTTAACCTACAGAGGTCATTTTTATTATAAGCAGCATTGCCTGGTAACAGCCATTTCACCTTTATCAAGTTTCTTCCATAGGTATTCTACTCATTCATTAAAAAAAAAATGAATTGAGGACTCATTAACATTGAGAAATACACATCTCTCACAGAGCTCAAGCCTTGGGTTGGTAATAAGAGAACAGAATAAACAGGCAGTACCCTGGAGAGCTGTACAAGGAGGGCTTATGGGAGTTCAGAGGAGGGTGATCTCCTTTATGGTGACACCTTCCTGGAGGAGGCATTTAACTTGGCCTTGAAGCATGGAATCGATCTGGACAGACATGGAGATCTGGTGAGTTGTGGGGGTAGAGCTTAAGTGGAAGATCCCCACATAGAAGAACAAGGCAGAGAAGCAGGAAACTGGAGTATATACAAAGAGCATCTTGTTCTACTTAGCTGGAGCATTAGGTTCATGAGGGAGAGGATAGTTCCTGTTAGGAATAGGAAACAGATTCAGAGAAGTGATGTAATCTGGCCAAAATTTTACTACTAATAAGCGATAGAGCTGGTGTTAGACCCCAGGTCTTTGTGGTTCCAGTGCCCCTGCTGTTTCCTGCTCCAGGCTCAGGCCTTGGTGGAAGGATGCCATTTTCCATCAGCTTGTATGGAAAGAGACATAGCAGGTGAAAGTTTAAATAAAACCCCTCACTACTTCCTGTTGACTACAAGCATATGTTCCCTTCTGTTCCAGCTATCCAGCACTGGTAGCAGATGCTCAAATATGCAGTGCTTTCAGGCCTCTGTGCTGTTGTTTAGGCTGTTCTGTCTGAATGACTTTGACTCCTCCCACTACATTTAAGGATCATTTGCACAAATATTTACCAAGCACTACAATATGCCGTGTACTTCATTCAGCCTGATTCCTCACAAGGAATTGGCCAGTCTCAGCTGGCCACGGTGGCTCACGCCTGTAATCCCAGCACTTTGGGAGGCCGAGGTGGGCAGATCACCTGAGGTCAGGAGTTTAAGACCAGCCTGGCCAACATGGTGAAACCCCATCTTTACTAAAAATACAAAACTTAGCTGGACATGGTGGTGGGTGCCTGTAATCTCAGCTACTCGGGAGGCTGGGGCAGGAGAATCGCTTGAACCCGGGAGGCGGAGGTTGCAGTGAGCTGAGATCGTGCTGCTGGATTCCAGCCTGGGCAACAGGGTGAGATTCTGTCTCAAAAACAGAATTGGTGGCTGAGTGCGGTGGCTCACGCCTGTAATCCCCACACTTTGGGAGGCTGAGGCGGTCGGATCATCTGAGGTCAGGAGTTCAAGACCAGCCTGGCCAATATGATGAAACCCTGTCTCTACTAAAAATACAAAAAAATTAGTCAGGCATGGTGGCACACACCTGTAATCCCAGCTACTCGCGAGGCTGAGGCAGGAGAATCACTTGAACCCAGGAAGCGGAGGTTGCGGTGAGCAGAGATTACGCCACTGCTCTCCAGCCTGGGCAACAAGAGTGAAACTCCATCTCAAAAAAAGCAAAACAAACAAAAAAAGAATTGGCCAGCCTGGGAAGTCCATTCCTTTGGAGTCTGTGTTACCATTCTCAATAAACCTAATGAGGGCTGGCAGAGGGGAACTGGCCAGTCTCTCCTTGGGCTTTCACCGTACCTCATGCCATGTCACCTGTAACAGTGTTGTAGTTACCTGCTTATGTCTTTGTCCTTGAGGGCAAGGCCCATATTTATTTTTATTTCCAGTGCTTGGCATATATTAATAAAGAGGTGCTTAAGATGTTTGTACAAATGAGTTAAGGTGGAGGGAGGAGAGTTGAGGCACAGGTCAGCTGGCTTTGGCTTCTGTCTTCTTAGTAAGGTGAACAGTGAGTCATCCACACAGATTATAATGGTAGCAGAGCTGGAGTCTACAGCTCCTTGAGTATGAAAGTCCCCTTGAGTGTGAAAGACAAAATGCTGGTCGGGGGAAGAGAAGGGGAATTAAAAGGTAAGTGGAAGATGGCCTAATTGCCAAGTGTACAGCTTCAGCTCAGCATATAATTGTTATGGACCCCAGTTATCCACTCACCTAACCGTCAGTGCCCTGTGGCTCAGAGCAGCAGTGAAGCTAAGTAGGAGGTGAGGTTTGGAAGGTGAGTGCTGTGCAGCAGTCTTGGAGATCATAGTTGACAGTGCCGGCTCTGGGGTGGGCAGGAAGACCATTGTTGGGTAAGTGAGGGGAGGTGGGGGTCACAGCAAATATGAGAAACACAGCCAGGCACTGTGGTTCACACCTGTAACCCCAGCATTTAGGAAGGCTGAGGTGGGAGGATCACTTGAGGCCAGGAATTCAAGACCAGCCTGGGCAACATGGTGAAACCCTGTCTCTACTAAAAATACAGAAATTAGCTGGGTGTGGTGGCTCGCACCTGTACTCCCAGCTACTCGGAAGGCTGAAGTGGGAGGATGGCTTGAGCTCAGGAGGCAGAGGTTGCAGTGAGCTGAGAGGGCGCCATTGCGCTCCAGGCTGGGTGACAGCGAGATTGTGCCTTAAAAAAAAAAAAAAAAGAGGAGGGGGAAAGACAAAATTGTATTCTGTAGGTCTTGAGTTCAACATTTGGAAAGGTAGACATTTGGAATGCTCTAGTTCCACTAGACCTTTGGTTTTCACTTAAGGGGGAATCAAGGACCATTGTGTTAGAATCCAGTGAGGTCAGGACGTAGGGACGCTCAGGACAGATGGCTGAGGATGTGTTGAAAGATAGGGGTGGGTTACAGAAGATTGCACTCTATCACAAGACGAGGAATGTTTCGGATGTGGCGGTGCTCAAGTGGTGGTCCTGGGATGGAATATGCCAAACCGCCTATTAGCAGAGTTACAGTGTCTTTTAGAGAAAGCCAAACATATTACCTGTGGAAGTGGTAAGAAACAAGAGTAACCCACTTATGCCTACTGTTTAATTATTGGAACGCTAAGCCTGTGGGAGTTATTGATCCCCTACTGCTCAAGGTCATCGCCAAGGTCTGATTTTTCACACAAAAAAATTTGCAACCTCTGGCATAAATGGGTTAAGGACAGACTGGATTCCTTAGCATAGTGGAGAGGCTGAGCCACCCAGGAGTCGGGAGGCAGTTTTACACTCAGGTGCTTACTGATCATGTCTTTACATGTTTTCTGCCCGTACTGATCATGCATGGTTTGCACCTCCCCTATGATACATACCTGCTTCAATCTTGTGTAGATTTGGAGTCTCATCTTCCTGCTGGGCTCTAAAAGCTCCAGGCTATCAAGAGTTTGAATACAATCTTTCTGGTCAGTGGTTTCCTGATGGTGAGGATGTTTGATTAGTTCATCTACAGGATTTGATCTTAGCTTGAAGACTATTGATGCTGATGGTTCCCAGGGCAGTTGTTTGAAGGCTGCAGGACAGAGGTCCAGCAATGCCAAAGAGGGGCGGTCATCATGACAAACTACACTACTGAACTAATTGAAACTGGACTCAGGAGACCTCATCTAATGTGTAGAATTCTCATTGATTACAACTTTTATCAGATATCTTTCATGACTAGAATACAATTTAAGCTAATTATTTTCCTGTTTAAACCTAGGCCTGTGATACTTGGGCTGTGATCCTCTAGAGCCAGCTTGGACTCACATCATTCTATGGGGTTGAAGACAACTCATTCCCTCTGAGGAGCCTTGTACATACAAGCCTTTTATTTATAACTTATTTTGTATTGAAACTTTTAAACAATACTGAAGAAAAAAAAACTTTTCCGACATCTGTTCTTGGTCTTTTGTGACGCAGGTTGAAGGGGGAGGAATAGAAAAAGACAAACTGCCTTGGAGGAGATAAACCAATTTTATGTCTATCATGTTATACAAAAATCTAGAAATAATAGATTTGTACAGAAAAAAATGATAATAAATGAGAACACAAAACATATAATTTAAATTTGGTATTTTTTCCCCCATGATATTAGGATGATAATCATTTCAAAGCACATGTCTAGCTTCAGAGTAGGATTTGTTCACTGGCCAAAGCCTGCCATGAAACTATGGCTTTCAGCATCTGTCTGCTCTACTGGCTCTTGACAAAACTCTTGAGGTCTTCAAGAAAAGTAATGTACTCCTGGTGCTCCAGGGCTGTGCTGAGCTCCACCAGCTCATCTGCAAAAGTGTTGTCCACCCCTCGGTCGGCAAGGAAATCCATTAGGTGGTCATATAAGGCCTGCAAAGAACAATATTTACTAGTTAAAAAAAAATCTGTAATGAACATTAAAATGCTTTTTTCTCCCCTTGAACTAGGACCCTTCCTTCCAAGGCCCAAAAGGTTCCCCCACCTTATCAAGCACTCACCCAGTCCAAGGAATCTGTGTTGAGTGTATAATTAGTATCCTTCCATTCAGACTCGCCAGTGGACTGAAAGCTAACTTCCCTGATAGAGAAGATGTCACTCTCAGCCTCGTCTTCTTGTCCAACCTGAGAAGAAACAATATTGGGAAACTGAAGGGTTCTCCAGGACAAGCTAGACTCAGGGGAAGAAAGGGGGCCACTGACAGCATGAAACTCATCAGGTTTTAACCCTCTTCCCTCACTCCCCACCTCTCTCCCCCTGCTGGGCTGGTCTAAGCTAGAAAAGTGTTTAAATTTCTGCTAAAATAGGGACAGGAAGTTCCCAAGGGACACACTGTTCCCCAGGGGTGCCAAGAGGCTAGCACTCCATCCTGCATACCTCATCCTCTGGATAATGACAGTCCAACACAAGGGCCTTCTTGCCATCATCATTCTTTATAACTTCAACCACGAAATTGGGAGTTGATGTCAGTTCAGGCTGGGGAAACAAGAAGTCAATACATGCTGCTGCTGGAAGGAGATGGATGGCTGGATCAAGGATCTCTGTTCAGAGTGTCTGATGGCCACCACTATTAGGATATTATGTAGCCATTTGAATAGTCTTATGCCATACTATTCCCAAATGAAGAGCTTGATCTCACTTCTGTTGGCACCCTGCTTGGTTAAATAACACACTGGGTTTTCAGTTAAGAAATGTGGATACCAGCCTCAGCTATGTGCCAATTAACTGAGTTTATATCAGTCCCTTAACATTCCAAGCCTTTTCCTCCACCCGTACACTGCAAAGCTTTCCTAAAGTTTCAAGATCTCTTTCCAGCTTGACTGTTCCAGGAGTCTTCATAAGGGACCAGGGTCAAAGGCTGGGGAACCTGGCCATCCTTATGGCTGAATAACAGCAGCAGCTTTTCCTCTGATGCGGAGCTCTGGGAGCAGACTGGGTCCAACGTCAGGGAGATGCTAGTTGGGGTGGCTGGGAAAGCAGCACACCAGAGAGCTGCGCCGTCCACACCAGGTCATGACCCAACACTGTACTGATGGCTCTTGGGCAGAATGTCTAGGGACTCTGTGGCCCTCATACTGGCTGGTTACTAGGCTGGGCACAGCACTTCCTGAAATGTTTGAAGAGTAGGCATGATCCAGTTAAAGTCTCTTATGCCCCTGCCATTCTCTCTCTCTTTTTTTTTTTTTTTTTTTTTTGAGACAGAGTCTTGCTCTGTCGCCAGGCTGGAGTGCAGTGGTGTGATCTTGGCTCACCGCAACCTCTGCCTCCCGGGTTCAAGCGATTCTCCTGCCTCAGCCTCCCGAGTAGCTGGGATTACAGGGACCTGCCACCATGCCCAGCTAATTTTTGTATTTTTAGTAGAGACGGGGTTTCACCATGTTGGCCAGGATGGTCTCGATCTCTTGACCTCGTGATCTGCCCGTCTCGGCCTCCCAAAGTGCTGGGATTATAGGCGTGAGCCATGCGACTGGACTTAGAGGAATTTTTTTTTTTTGAAAGACCAAAGAAAAACGCTCCTCCTCTAAGCCCCAGGCACAGCCTGTCAGAACTGAGGTAAAAGCTGATTATAGTATTAGCTTACCTCCTGTTCTTCAACCTTCTGCCCTTGCGAGGGTTCCTCCTCACCATCAAATGTTGGTGGGATGCTGTTGTTAATGTTGAAAGTGACCGTGATTCTAAAACGGCAAGGGAAAACAGACAAGGCAAAACAGACAAGGCATGGTTTTAACCGAGCAGGTTAACACATAAACATGGAAATCTGCTACAGTTAAAAAGGCGTATTGAAACAATGTCTCTGTCCTAGCTGGCTGAATTATATGCAGAACTTCAAACTAGGCTGGGTGCCTACATCCAATCCTGAGTGACTCAGCAGGTCTGAAGTGTGCCTACCATGTACCAGCTGCTGGAAGCCAAAGCTGGCCTCAGTTTATCTCAGCCAAACAAGTCATGCATGGGTTACTCCCAACAGGGCCAGTACCCCAGGGCTCACTGCCATGTGCTGACTGGGCATCTCATGGCCACAGCCAGCTGACACTGCCCACCCTGGTCTTTCCAGGGAACCCTTGGTCAAAGTAAGGACCTGAGAGGCTGGTGAGATGGAACAGAAGCCCCTTTAAGAGACTTTCCCCGTCAGAAAATTTGCCCTGCAAGGAAAGGAAGAAGCGATGGAGGGTGCCTCTGCTAAACACCGAGAGCAGCCCTGGAACGGGGAAGGGAATGCCTCACAAAGAACAAGGGCTGTAGTAGAGACTCATCCCTTAGAGTACTTGTGGGAAGTTTCATAATCACAAAGCAGGCCAGACACACCAACTAGTGACAATTTTAAGGTGCAAGAATCCACACCTGACAAATCATGTTCCAAAGTTTGAGTCAAAATTCTTGGGACATAAGGTTTAGAACCAAAACTGCTGGGCTATGCAACTCTGGCAGGCACCATTCCACACAAGAGTACATGAAGGCTGGGCGCAGTGGCTCACGCCTGTAATCCCAGCACTTTGGGAGGCCGAGGTGGGCAGATCACGAGGTCAAGAGATCGAGACCATCCTGGCCAACACGATGAAACTCCATCTCTACTAAAAAATACAAAAAAAAAAAAAAAAAAAAAATTAGCTGGGCGTGGTGGTACGCGCCTGTAATCCCAGCTACTCAGGAGGCTGAGGCAGGAGAATTGCTTGAACCTGGGAGGTGGAGGTTGCAGTGAGCCGAGATCACGCCACTGCTCTCCAGCCTGGAGACACAGCAAGACTCTGTCAGAAAAAAAAAAAAAAAAAAAAGAGTACATGAAGTGCCGCCCTCCACTTGTGCTAACTAGCTGCTCTGCCAGGAAGCCACCTTTCCATGGCAACAGAGGCAGTCTGAGGTTGACAAAATCTGTCTAATTCCAACTGTGCTGACTAAGCTGAGCTCCTGGGCACAGAAATTGAATGACGTTCATCAGAGCATTATTTTTAATGGCCCCCAAATAGCTATGAAAACCTTGCGCAAATGGTGTTTAGGTGAGATTACAGAAGACACAATTGACCTGTGTAGGGCAAAAACACACTATGCAACAGGCAAGAGAATCAGGACCCTACTTCACACCATATTCAAAATGAATCACAGACCTAAACTAAGAGCTAAAACTAGAAAACTTTGAAAAAATTAAGGCATACATCTTCACAACCTTGGGTTAGGCAGTGGTTTCTTAGACGTGACACTAAAAAAGCACAAGTTGCACTTGGTGAATTAGAAGCAAAGTAAAAAATAAATAAAAAAGCACAAGCGACCAAAAAAATAGGTAAACTGAACTTCCTCAAAATTAAAAACTTTTGTGTCAGAGGACATTACCAAGAAAGTGAAAAGGAAACCCACAAGATGGGAAACAGTACTTACAAATCATTAATTTGATAAGATAGTTGTACCCAGAAAAACTTAACTTTTACAACCCAACAATTAAAAAGGTAAATAGGGTGGGCAGGGTGGCTCACACCTGAAATCCCAGCACTTTGGGAGGCCAAGGCGGGCGGATCACGAGGTCAGGACTTTGAGACCAGCCTGGCCAACACGGTGAAACCCTGTCTCTACTAAAAATACAAAAATTAACCGGACGCACGCCTGTAATCCCAGCTAAGGAGGCTGAGGCAGGAGAATTGTCAGAACCTGGGAGGCAGAGGTTGCAGTGAGCCAAGATCGCACCACTGCACTCCATCCTGGGTGACAGAGCAAGACTCCGTGGGGTTGGGGGGGGAAGCTACAAATTGTATGACTCCATTTATATGAAATGTCCAAAAGAGGCAATCCCATAGAGAAAGTAGCTTAGTGATTACCTGGGGTGGCTACAGGGAGGAATAATGAGTGACTGCTAATAGGTATTGTTTGGGGATGACAACAGTGTTCTAGAATTAGGTAGTGATAACTGATGCATAATTCTGCGAGGACTAAGAACCACTTAATTTAATAAACTTCAATAAATGGGTAAATCGTATGCCATCTCAATTAAATCTCATAAAAGCTGTGATTTAAAAAAATTACATACACATCATAAGGTCAATTATGAAGGAAATTCAATTTATTTATTTATTATTGAGATGGCGTCTTGCTCTGTTGCCCAGGCTGGAGCGCGGTGGCGCGATCTCGACTCACTGCAACCTCCACCTCCCAGGTTCAAGCGATTCCCCTGCCTCAGCCTCCCGAGTAGCTGGGACTACAGGCACGTGCCACCATACCCGGTTAATTTTTACTAGAGCCAGGGTTTTAGTGTTAGCCAGGATTTTCTCCTGACCTCATGATCTGCCCGTCCCAAAGTGCTGGGATTATGGGTGTGAGCCACCGCGCCCAGGCTCAATTTAAAAACCTGGAAGATGCCAAATGTTTATCTGTGTAATGAGATTATGGATGACTATAATGCAGAAAAGTGTAAACACTTTAACAGTTTAGGAGATGATGGGGGAGCTGACTTAGGTCACAAACTCCCCACCTCTGATGGCAGCCCTTACTACAGTGTAACCCCATCCTGTTACATAGAAGTTACATATTTTTCATTTTCACCCATACTAAACATTAGAGAGCAGTGTCCTATTTTATCAGGGCTGTAAATCAGAGATCAAACTGATTCTGCCAGTACTTTTTTGCACTACATTTTTGTCTCCTTAGTAACCAGCCCACAGCAAATTTGTGTTCGGTGAATGGACTGCCTGGGGCTTACGAAGTTGTCCAAATGAATCCTTCACTCTCTTGAAACCCATTTATCAAAGTATCCACACCTGAACTCAAGGCTCTTCTGGGGATGACCCAGGATGGGTCCTGCAAGGTTAAGGGAGTTGCTGCCCTGGGATCCCCAGACCAGTACTTACTTTTCCCCGGCAACTTTCCGCACTAATTTCGCTTCTGTCCCATTCAGTTCCAGCTCCCAACCTCCAGACATCTTAGGGAGGGTTTTATGCTTCTGAATTTTTCTTTCCTCCTTAATTTCATCACTCAGGAAATCAACAAAAGCTTTGTCTCCTAGAAAAGAAATCCAGATACATAAAAAGGAAAGCCAGTTAGTCTAAAACATAAAACTATTACCCAGGTTATTGCAGCCAGAAACCTGGACTGTTTCTAATCTCTCTGCTATTACGGTTACTCTAGAAGCCTGTTTCCTTATCGGTAAAAATACCATAATAGTAGTAGGAAGCTGAGCCTGATTCTGGAAAAGTGATTTCCAACAATGAACGCATTACCACTTTCCGCTATAAACCAGGAGAATTTCCAATCCTCTTCCACTTGCCAAACGATATAACTATGCTATTTTCAACCACGACCATGGGCCTTCCCAAAGGTCCACTTTCGATAGAATAAGACTAAGGAAAAAGGTACCCTAGTATTTAATTTTATTCACCCCCTACCAAAAGAAAACGAAACTGCTGGATAGGGGAGGTGGGGGAAATATGATCATACGTGGGTTTAGCCCGCTGGTTGCCAATCAATGGAAAAATGTCCCAGACCTCAGAGGTCGGTTGCAGGCCCTATTCCTGGTCTACGTTTTCCCTCTGTTGAACGCAAACCACACCCCCGGCCCGCTAAACCTCACCGTCGGTGTGCAGCGAGCCGCAGCCACAGCCACAGGCGCAGGGTCCGCGAGGCCGCAGGAGGCCCGGCCGCCGCTCGGAACCTGCGCGCACGCTGAGCAGCCCGAAGGGCCGGGTGCACAGCCGGGGTGCCGGCTGCAGGAGCTGCCGGAAAGGCGAGGCGGGCGCGGCAGCGCGGAGGCCGGCGACGGAGGAGCCCAGCACACGGGGCACGCAGCGCAGCAGAGGCAGCATCGCGGAAACGACTGCGAACACGTGCAGATGCAAAGGACAACCCAGGCCTAGGCGCCCCGCGACCTGAGGCGCCGCCGGAAGCCCCGCCCCTGCCCGGAAGCGCTTCCCGCGCCGGCGCTCTGACGACCTAAGGCCAGCGGGCGGAATCGCGCCCTCTGCTGGAGACTCCGGTGCAGCCCGGGAAGCCTCGAATCCGGATTCCGGAGCTTTCTTGCTGCGCTGCCGAGTCCGCTGTCCGAAGCTGTTTAATTCCCTCTAGTGGCCGCTTACCCACTTTCCACCTGCTGTTCTCAAAGCACGCAAGGCTTTTGGGCTGCGTGGAATGCACTCTTGTCTCCCGCCAGCTCTCACCAGACCCTTCCACGGTCACTTTCCTCTAGGAGGCTGTGGTGTTATGATATATATATGTATTGGTTTTCATCCACAGTTCCTGGGTCGTAACTCCTATAGCCCTTGTTACAATGTTCTGTGATAATGTTGGGTGTGTTAGGCCTCAGGAAACAGACTCTCCCCTTCTCCTGCCCTCCTTTTACCTGCCCCAAAGCAGGACTCTAATCTCCTTCCACATTTCTGATTATGGGTCTTAAGTCCCTTCCCAGAGAAGGTCCCACCATATACCCTGGGGGAAGGGATGCTGATGTCCAGAAGCTTCCATAAAAACCCAAGAGGAGAGGGTTTGCAGAGCCTCTGACAGCTGAATACGTAGAGGTTCCTGGAGGGTGGTGGCCCAGGGTAGGCAAGGAACCTCGGAGCTTCTTCCCCATTCCCCACCCTGCTCATCTCATCTGTATCCTTGGTCATATCCTTTATATGAAACCGGTGAATGTGTTTCCCTGAGTTCTGTGAACTGCTCCAGTGAGTTAACATAATCCAAAGAGGGGGGTCGTGGGAACCCCAACTTGAAGCGGGTTGGTCGGAAGTTTCAGAGGCCCAGACTTGCCATTGCTGTCTGAAGGTGGGGGCGGTCTTGGGGACTGAGCCCTCAACCTATGGGATCTGACACTATCTCCAGGTAGATACTGTTGGGATTGAATTGGAGGACACCCAGCTGGTGTCTGCTGCTTAGTGTGGAGGGGAAAAACCCAAACCTTTGGCCACATAAGTCTTCTGTGTTGATTGTTGTGTTGTGAGAGCAAAGGAAAGTCTGAGGGTTTTCCTGAAAGAGGCCTTCTAGAACCTTTTTTTCCACCGGCTCGGAACTCATGCTTGTGCGCACCCAGCCCATATGCTTCATTCTCTTTTCAACAGGAACCTCCTAGCGTTGCTGCTTTAACCAGGTTAAACCCAACCAGACTGTGACATCCTCAAGGGCAGGATCCATGATTAATTTTTGTGACCTTCCCTCTCTGCACCTCCAACCTTGCATCCAAGTTCTAATGGAACATCATTTTTCTGGGGACAAGAAGCCAGCTTATATCATTTAGATAAGTCCAGAGGCTTCCATAAAAACCCGAGGACAGGGTTTGGAGAGCCTCTGATAGCTAAATACATGGAGGTTCCTGGAGGGTGGTGGTCCAGGGACGGCATGGAGGCTGGGAGCTTCTTCCCCATTCCCCACCCTGCTCATCTCCTTATCTGTATCCTTGGTCATATCTTTTGTATGAAACCGGTAAATGTGTTTCCCTGAGTTCTGTGAGTTTCTCCAGTAAATTAATATAACCCAAAGACAGGGTTCAGATTTATTAAAAATCAACAATCCTACCTTCCCAGGATATACAGGACATATAAGCTACTAAGAAGGTATGTCTTACTAACTCATGGTAAGACTAACACTTAATATTTTCTAAATAATTTTCTATGAATAATGGAAAAGAGATGCAAGAAACAAGCCACACACATCATATACAAGATTCATTTTTAATGGATTTGATCGTCGGGTGCAAATTTGAGCATTATTTACAAGAGCTTTCTGTAGAGTTATTTCTGTTCAAATAAAACCAGACTCTCAAAATACAACATAAGCCTGAACCTACTTGATTTTTTTTTCTCCCTCTAGTTACCAAGGAATATCGTATCTCAGATGCATGGCCTACTATCACACTGGTCTTTAAAGAAAAAAAAAAATGCATGGCCACAGTTCCAGGCAGTTCCTGGTAGCTGGATTTAGTGGATTTATATATGACAGTACAGTACATCATCAGTTTCACCCACAGGGCAGAACTTGCCTCCATTCAGGCATCTCTTTACAACTGGCAGCAATGCAGCATTAAGGGTTTTTAGCCAGGACCTGCTGTTTGCAGTCCTGCCCCTTGTAGTGTTACTCTGGGTGTTGCACACTCCATGATTACTAGAAGACAAACACCTGAGGCATGCAATCTGCTTGGAGTGCATCTATTTACATGAAGCTGCTCACGGGAGCTGGTGATTCTTCCAGATATGGGTTTCGTAGGTTGGCAAAGAGTTATCACACCATCAGAGATTTTACCAATGGAAAGAGAGTAGCTGAAGATTATATTGCAATGTTATTGTGAAACATTTAACTTTCTTAAGTTTAAAGTGTACTATCTCCTGCAGCTCAATATAAACAACGATGTATTTCTTTGTAGCAGTATGTGGAGTCAGAATGGGTTTTCCAATCTGATTTAATCCCTGAGCAGCTATGTTAAAAGTTAACTTTTTAAAAAAGCCCAATAAAAAACTAAATACTGTATTAAAACTCTACCACAATGTTACAGGGATAAACTTATTTCTGTACAGAAACATTAAAGCTACTTAGAAGCTGTTTACATCCTTTGCCTCTCAGAAAAAAAATATACATTTCCGGAAACTGTTCAGGTACTTAAGCTGGACATAAATTACCCCAAGTTTTTTCTTTTTCTTTCTTTCTTTCTTTTTTTTTCTGAGACCGTCTCACACTGTCGGCCAGGCTGGAATGCAGTGGCGTGATCTTGGCTCACTACAAACTCTGCCTCCCAAGTTCAAGCAATTCTTGTGCCTCAGCCTCCCCGGTAGCTGGGATTACAGGCGTGTGCCACCATGCCCAGCTAAGTTTTCTATTTTTAGTAGAGACGGGGTTTTGCCATGTTGGCCAGGCTGGTCTTGAACTTCTCAAGCAATCCACCCACCTCAGCCTCCCATCCCAATGCTGGGATTACAGGCATGAGGTGATCCGCCCGCCTTGGCCTCCCAAAGTGCTGGGATTACAGGTGTGAGCCACTGCGCCCGGCCACCCCCCAATTTTTTTTTTTTTTTTTTTTTTTTTACCAGCACTATGAATGATTAAAAATACAATATTTTTCTTACTAAGTAGGACTAAACATTCTAATCCCCTACTGGAAAACAAAAAACAAAAAACAAAAACTGGAAAACTTTTCAGAAAGTCAGCAGTGGTAACAAGTCAGTAAGTGGAAGAACTGGTTCAAAGTTTAAGAATTCAGTAAGATAAGGTATATAGGAGCTGTCAGATCTTCTTTTGCCCACGTATAACCATTTCTGACAGACAGCCCTAAACACTAGCTGAGAGCTTGACTGCACAGGACCACGGCTAGTGTTGGAAATAAAGACTGAGCCGGACTTGACATACACAACTCCGGACAGATGGGACCCTGGAATGGGGCTGCTCCATCAGGCCACAGCTTCCAGAAAGAGAGCATCCATGATCTCTGAAGAGCCTCTTGGGCAGCTTGGCCCCTGGTTATAACTATGATTCATTCATTAAGAAATGACAAAACACCCCACAGATGTATTTGGACCAAGTAAGCACAATAAAAGAGCTAAATCACGGCTTCTTCTAGGGCAAAATATTATCTGGGGAAAGATTACTTGCTTCTGATAATTAAATAGCTAAGAGGAACCGTTAGTGCCTTTTCTCTGCTCAGAATATCAGAACAGGAACAGACTGTGGATATCCTCCAATTCCCTCTGACAATGAGGGTTAGAGAGAGGTGCCTAGCAGTTAGAAAGCAGCAAAGCCAGATTGTCCCAAGTCCCTACGAAGAAGGAAAAAATATCATAGAAAATTAATAAGATGCAAGAATAAGTGTTACAGCTCTAGCTCTTTTAGAATTTGTCCAGCAGGTCTTCTAGACTTCACTGAACTGCCCCCCACCCCCCCCGCCCACACACCAAAAAAGATACAAGAATGTAAGCCCAGATGTGGTGTGGTATCTGGCATAAGCCAATGTTCTCTGGGTTCTAGGTACCCCTCTCCCCTCCCCCACCCCCACCCCCTCTGACCAGGGGACTGCCCGAAAAGAAACAGCTGAAATGGTACACAGTCACTCCTCATGCCCGCATGTTCACTGGTGCCCAGTTAGAGAGAAAAATGGCAACTGTGTATGTGGGAGTCACCTACACACACAAAACACTGATAGGTCAGTTTCCCATGTCTACACGTGACAGGATTCAGAAGGTACAAATCAACCTTCACCCAGGAAGCTTACATGTCTCCTGAAAGCACTGACAGGGTCACGCACTGAGGACCAGGAGGCTCCTTTACTGGTCTCTGCTTGGAGACAGACACAGAGTGGTCCACCCTGAGACACAAGCGTTCAGTAGGGATCGCCATCCCAGGAGGTACGAGATAACAGCACCTCCCTCTGGAAACTTCTACAGAAGTCAGTTTTGTTTTCTATTTTAAAACTGCATTCAGAGAGACATTAAACAAGAACTAAGGGCAACATCCAAGCTCCGCAACCTCCTGTGGCCCTTCCAGAAAATCTCCCTCAGTCACAAGAACTTGGGATATTGCTGTACTTCACATCATATGGCAAGCAGTAACATTCAGCCTAACGGCTCCCAACTCACTGTACGTGTGTCGTGCGTGCTCCAGGCATAGTTCTGGGTACTTTCCATTCCTTTTCTCTAAACTTTATGAACCCAATTTTATAAGGATTATTATTATTACTCCCATTTGGCAGATGAGAAAACTGAGGCTCAGGTGTTAAATTAAGTCAAAGTCACCCAGTAAGAACCAAAAGCATAATTTTGAGGTTTCCAGGTACAAATGATATGTCCATGTCTATATGGTTCAGTCCCAGGAGTTGAGCAAAGATGCTTTCACGCTCCTGGAAGTCAGGCACCTTCAGCTGATTCCAAGGCTTCTCTAAGCGCCAACCTGGAAGCCTGCTGTAAGGACAACTGTAGTCCAAGCTCCCAGGGACCAGTGATTCTGGCGGCATCCTGGGGCGGCTCAGTTTCTGGCGGTTCTCAGCTTCCTCCTAAAGTACTCAGGGGCAGCCTCGTACAGCCACTGTGCATCTATGACGCAGAGGTCCCGCATGTAGCACTTGTTGGTGTAGAGCAGCTCAGTGTACACGACGCAGGCCGGCTTGCAGTGGAAGAGGACAGACGACGGGTGGATGGCCACTGGCTGGTGGGTGTCCGTGGTGGCATAGGTGCCATCTGGCTGAAGCTCGGCGGTGCTCATGAAGAGGCTGTGAGCCAGGCAGCGGCGGACACTCTCCACGTCTCCTCGGGATGATGCGATTGGCATTGACATCTGTTTCGGGAGAAAGCGAGGAATGGAGCCGACCCCACACGTAAACACTGGTCAGCACTACACAGCGTGTTGGGGCAACTGGACCCACTGGGGCAAAAGCAGCCCACATTGTGAGCCTAACGATGTGGATTCTGACATTCGGAGGTGGTCACCAAGGATCAGCAAGGTCAGGGGAAGAAGGCCCAGCTGGAGGAGCACGGACCAGAAACAGGGAAACTACCGCCTGTGAAGGTAGGGCTGGGAGGGAGGTGCTCACATTAGCCACCAGACCACAGGCAGGTTGGGTGACCCACCCCTCACCTAAATTCCATCAGGACGGCCCGGAAAGGAAAGGCCCTTCCCTCTCGCTTTGACCATCTCACCATCTCCTCACTCCGATTCACCCACCTGCTGCTGCCAAGCTAATCTACCTAAAGCACAACTCGAATCACTCTTCATCCACTCAAATACCTTCAACAATGTCTCTACTGCTCCTTGCAAAACAATGCAAACTTCCCGTGGTGAAGCCACGAAGGAGCCACCCTGAGCTGCTCGCCTGTCTTTCCTCTCACCGCTCTTTTTCTTTCTTTCTTTTTTTTTTTTTGAGGCTGAGTCTCCCTCTGTCACCCAGGCTGGAGTGCAATGGCGCAATCTCAGCTCATTGCAACCTCCACCTCCCAGGTTCAAGCTATTCTCCTGCCCTAGCCTCCCAAGTAGCTGGGATTACAGGCGCCTGCCACCACGCCTGGCTAATTTTTGTATTTTTAGTAGAAACGGGGTTTCACCATTTTGGTCAGGCTGGTCTTGAACTCCTGACCTCAAGTGATCTGCCCGCCTTGGCCTCCCAAAGTGCTGGGATTACAGGCGTGAGCCACCGCGCCCGGCCTCACCACTCTTCTTTAGACACTCCATGGTCCCCCATAGCTGGCTGCCTTCTCTTTCCTCGCCCCGTTTCATGATTCCTATCTGTGCCTTCACATTTGCTACTCTTAGTAGAAATGCTGCCTGTCTCATCAGAGGAAATGTCAGTCACCAGTCAATGTCCTTGTTCTACTGCTCTTGATGAGTGGGGCATGTAACCTACGCCCCTGGGCACAGATGAACAAACCAGTGGTACACACACGCTGGACCTAAGCTGGCCAGCTTTTCTCTTCCAGGCATCTTTTAGGTTTGAAACTGGAAAACTTGTCAATCTCTGCTGGGCTCTTGAGTGGAGGGGCCATGCAGAGAAATCACTTCCATGCGGAGGTAAAGGTGAGAAAAGGGAAGGAGGCACGCAGAGGGCACTCAAAGCAAGAGAAGCAGCAGGTCCAGAGAAAGTGGCGGGCCTGGCTCCTGCAGGCTTTTTCTGGTTCCTGTGACTCTATTTCCTGCCTATCGGTTCTCAGAGATACCTTTCCATCCTTGGAAGAATCTTTATTTTGTCCTTTATGATGGCTCTAGGGTTTCTGTTGTTGACAATCAGCTGATCTATGCCTGAAGAAGATACTTTTTTTTAAGAGACAGGGTCTCACTCTGTTGCCCAGGCTGGAGTGCAGTGGCACAATCCCAGCTCGCTGGCAACCTCTGCCTCCTGGGTTCAAGCGATTTTTGTGCCTCAGCCTCCTGAGTAGCTGGGGTTATAGGCATGCACCACCACGCTCAGCTTAGTTTTGTATTTTTAGCAGAGATGGGGTTTCACCATGTTGGTCAGGCTGATTTCGAACTCTTGGCCTCAAGCAATCCACCTGCTTGGGCCTCCCAAAGTGCTGGGACTAGAGGCATAAGCCAGCCACCACACCTGGCCTGGAAGATACTCTTTTATCTCCTTATCTGTCAAGATCTAGCTCAGTTGTCACCACCTCCAAGAAGCCCCAGAGGCTAACTGGTGGTCTCTCCTTCCAGACTATCAGCTTTACCACTCACTGGCTGAGTGATTTGGGGCAAATTATTTAACCTGATTAGGCTTAGTTTCATCATTTGTAAAATGGGAATAACAAAAGAATCAATCTTATAGGTTGAAATGAGGATTTTATCCTTTGGGTTAAGGTCTGAGTTGAAAAAGAAAAAAAAAGAAATGAGGAGTTTAAATAAGGCAGCCACATAAAAAGTACTCAGAACAGTGCTGAACAAACACTTCATGAATGATAGTGATTATTTTAATTTGATGGCCTCCTGGCATGAGTGTATGTACGTCAGGTCACCATCTAGATTATTACTTAGTTACTGAGTAGGCATGTCTGTAAAGTCTCAGGACCTTACCAGTGCCTGACATATAATGAGAGGTATCCCTGGCCACTACAGGGTCCTAAATTCACAACTAATAGAGAAGCACCGTTTCTACTGTCAATGATAAATTGAGAAAACTTATGAAGCCAAGAGACAGACTGGCAGGAAACTGTTCAAATACAAAAGCAGTTTAAAAAAATGTGTGAAAGACAGAATACAATAGGCTACTATGAGAAGAAACAGCTCTAGTGCCAACCGTAGGCCGTTGGCATCAGACACAGGCCTGGGTACAGGCTGTGACTGTCTCCCAGCAGCGTCCGCACTGAGGGGGCACAAGACATTCACCACAGAGTACTCAGGACAGCAGCAAACACACGGACACTGTCTCAGTGATCAACAGCAAAAGAACACTTCCGCTACCCTCTATCTCTGACATAAAATGTGGAGTGTCATGCGAGCATTAAATATACCATGACAGCTCTTTAAAACACCATGTACTCTAAGAGGGAATAAAAAGCTAATATAAAACTTTGTGGGCCGGGCACAGTGGCTCACACCTGGAACCCCAGCACTTTGGGAGGCCAAGGCCAGTGGATCGCCTGAGGTCAGGAGTTCGAGACCAGCCTGGCCAACATAGTGAAACCCCGTCTCTACTAAAAATACAAAAAATTAGGCCGGGCGTGGTGGCTCACGCCTGTAATCCCAGCACTTTGGGAGGCCAAAACCATCCTGGCTAACATGGTGAAACCTCGTCTCTACTAAAAATACAAAATATTAGCCGGGTGTGGTGGGTCATGCCTGTAGTCCCAGCTACTCGGGAGGCTGAGGCAGGAGAATTGCTTGAACACGGGAGGCAGAGGTTGTGGTGAGCCAAGATCGCGCCACTGCACTCCAGCCTGGGCAACAAGAGCAAAACTCCGTCTCAAAAAAAAAGAAAGGAAAAAAAACACTTTGCGGTGGACACTTTGGCAATATCTAACAAAATCCAAATTCCCCCATCTAGAAATTCATTCTGTGTGCACCACAGCACATACGGAGGATGGTCACTACAACAGAATCTAAATGACCATTATTAGAGGCTTAAATAAACTGCACTGAATACAATGAAATGCTATGAAATCACTAAAATGAATGAGCTAGACACATGCAGCACTGAAAGCCCAGCCACAGGAAGGATTTGAGAAATACGCATGTGAGGCCAGGCACAGTGGCTCACACCTGGAATCCCAGCACTTCGGGAGGCCGAGGCGGGCAAATCACCTGAGGTCAGGAGTTCGAGACCAGTCTGGCCAACGTGGTGAAACCCCGTCTCTACTAAAAATACAAAAATTAGCCAGGCGTGGTGACGCACGCCTGTAATCCCAGCTACTCGGGAGGCTGAGGCAGGAGAATCACCTGAACTCGGGAGGCAGAGGTTGCAGTGAGCGGAGGCTGTGGTGAGCCAAGATGGTACCACTGCACTCCAGCCTGGGTGACAGAGCAAGACTCTGTCTCAAATAATAAACAAGAAAGAAAGAAAGAAAGAAATATGCCATGTGGAAGAAAGGAAGTTGTGGAACATGTACCTCATATGCACGTATCCGTTATGTGTGTGCTCACACACAGGCACAGAGACATGCACAAAAACATACATACACAGAAACAAATTCTAGAAGGAGCTACCCCAAACTGTTAACAGTAGTTATCTCTGGAGGGGCAGGATTATGGGAGACTTTTAAACTTTCTACATTATAAATCACTATTTTCTGCATTGTGTCAAATACTATACACAACTTTGGTAATCTAAAAGGAAATAATGCAGATATTCATACTTAAAAAAAATCTTATGAAGAATTCTAACACTGGAAAATGCTTATAAAGATTATAAAACCAAATATAAATTATACATATAATTTACTATGTAAAAAAATACAATAAAAACTAGGCTATTAGGAAATAGGCTAAACTACTGAATTGTGGAATTGTGGGTAACTTCCTTTTTTCTTATTTGTGAAATTTGCTACAATGAGAAATCCTTTTATAATCACTAGCAATAAGCAACTTCAAAATTTCTACCTTGAACAAAGTGACAGCTTTGTCACCCACAGAACACTAGGACCAGACGATACCTTTAAGCAGATGTCCCTCAGCTGTGCTCTGACTTCTGCTACCAGCGTCATATTCTTGCTGTTGACAAAATTCTCTTTGCACCAATCCTGAATAGGAGAAAGAGTGATATCACAATCCACTCATTCACCATTTATATGTTCACAGAGACGGGGTCTTGCTCTGTTCCCTAGGCTGGAGTGCAGTGATACAATCATAGCTCACTGCAAACCAATCCTCCCACCTCAGCCTCCCAGATAGCTTGAACTATCTGCACATGCCACCATGCCCAGCTAACAATCCTCTCATCTCTATAGAGAAAATATAACAACATTTTTAGAACACAGTTGAATTCAGAGAAAAAACTTCAGGTGCCAAAAAGAAACGTAGGAAAATATCTTTATATCAAAAAACATGAACTATAAGAAAAGTGTTAATAATTTAAACTAAAGAAAAACTTGAAGTTTCCCAGATTGGGATATTTGTCTCATCATACCCAATAAATGATTAGAATCTCTAGAATTGATTTTAAAAGTTCTACAAGTCATTAAGAAAAAGACCAACGACCCAGTAGAAAAATGGACAAAGGATATGAACAGACACAGAAAACAAAACAGAAATGCCCAGTCAATTTATGTAAGACTTCTTTCTTTTTTCTTTTTTTGGAGATAGATAGAGTCTCGCTCTGTCACCTAGGCTGGAGTGCAGTGGCACGATCTCGGCTCACTGCAACCTCTGCCTCCCAGGTTCAAATGATTCTCATGCCTCAGCCTCCCGAGTAGCTGGGATTACAGGTATGCACAACCACGCCCGGCTAATTCTTGTATTTTTAGTAGAGACGGGGTTTTGCCATGTTGGCCAGGCTGGTCTGGAAGTCCTGGGCTCAAGTGATCCACCTGCCCTGGCTTCCCAAAGTGCTGGGATTACAAGCTTGAGACACTGTGCCTGGCCCTGGGCAAGTTTTTCAACTGCACGAAGCTTCGTTTCCATGACTACATGTTTCATGAATATAAAAAATAATAATTATAGTGCTCATTTCTTAGGATTACTTTACTGAATAAATGAGATCTTACATTAAGAAGTGCTTAGCATGGGGCTTGGCACAGAGTAAGTACTCATTCATTGGTACGCACTATCATTATTAGACATATTACTTAATCAAGTTCCAATTAAGTTTTGATGGGTTGGGAGTCACTTAAGTCTTGTTGACTTAAACACATTCGGAACAGAGACCAGAATGACACTGCTTCGGTACTGAAGCATTTCTGAAATGCTGTCTGGCTTTCTTTTTGTGATTCTTTAGATAATTTAGCCAAAAAGGGAAAGCGTACTTTTTGCACGGCTTCAGTAGAAAAAGGGAAGCACATAGCAGAGACAAGCAGCTATCGCTGGAGAACAGGTGCAAGACAAGGCTCACCTTATTTCCGCCTAGGTTTTTGAAGGTCCGATAGATATTGAGCAGGGTCATGTGATCCCCCTCGCTGGATATGAACTTCTTGCGGACCCCTTGCACTTCCTCTCGCCGGGAAGGAGGGTTGTGGAGGACGCTGTCCACAGACAGCAGGGAGACAATGGTCAGGATCTCCTCTGTACAGTGGAATTTGGGGGACATGAGGATGGTCTGCAAAGCAAAATTTAAAATTGTGTAAACCCAGCTTTCTCCTAGCTTTAGAATGCACTATTTCTGTACATTGCTTTTGCAGTTTCCCTTCTAAGGAGTTAAAGGGCAGGTATTTCTAAAACCATGGCGATGTACATTAGTGTTATTTCACTCTTTAATATTCAATAAAACAGGTGACTGCCTTCCCTACAGAGTTCCAAATTTCTTGTGGGTAGGGGCTCTTAACTTCATCTCTTTGAATCCCACACTGAACATGAATCAGGGCTATTTGCAAACTAGGGGTTGGTAATTATGTAAGAGAAAAAGTGAGATTAATCTAGAAGCACTGGGTAGATGGTACTACTTTGGGACGGTTAACTGTAATGTACAGAAAGAGGACTGAGGAGAGGGTATCATTTACTTTGGCAAATTTGGGTTCTAAAGGAAATGCTGCCATCTTTCTTCCCATTGGAGTCAGGGTAAGCTGGTCATCCTTATGTTCAAGAGCACCTAACAGGTCCAGTTGGGCAATGGCCGCCTGAATGTGATCTAAAGAAACAGAGACATAAAAAGGAGCCAAAAGTCCAAAAAAATGAAGTTGCAGCTAGTTCAGTATTTCTGGGAGCTTCTGATAATTCTACATCAAACAACAGCAAAAATCATAACCGCCACTGCCCCCTTGACACACTTGTCAAAGAACGACATCACTGTCTTTAGTTCAATTCCCTTTTCTTTTTTGAGACAGAGTCTTGCTCTGTTGCCCACACTGAAGTGCAATGGCGTGATCTCGGCTCATTGCAGCCTCTGCCTCCTGGGTTCCAGCGATTCTCCTGCCTCAGCCTCCCCTATAGCTGGGACCACAGGCGCCCACCACCGCGCCCAGCTAATTTTTGTATTTTTAGTGAGACGGGGTTTCACCATGTTAGCCAGGCTGGTCTCAAACTCTTGACCTCAGGTGATCTGCCCACCTTGACCTCCCAAAGTGCTAGGATTACAGGTGTGAGCCACCATGCCCAGCCTCAATTTTCTTTTTAAATGACCTGTAATTTGGCAATATGTATGTAGATTTTGAATATACACATTAAAAGTGTAACATCTGACCCAGCAATGTTACACTTACGAATTTCACCTGCAGATACACATCGCACAGAGACCATATCGCCAGAACCAAACACATAACAGTGGAAATAGCAGTTGTCTCAGGGGCCAGCTGGGGAGGCTGGGAGACAAGGGGATGAGAAGGACATTATTACTATTTACTATTTTATATATTTTAAACTTTGAACCATGTAAATATAGTACCTATTAAAGAATAAAAAAGCATTTCTAAGGATGTAGTAAATATATACATCCCAATAAGGAGTGATCTGTAAAATGTATTAAATGAAAAAAAGCAGTGTGTTTCTCATTGCTTTTTTAAAGCAATATTTATCAACTGAAGGATGGATAAATGCATTTTGGTTTATTCACAGAATGGAATAGCACTTAGTGTGAAAAAGCATCAGCACAAATATACTATACGGAACAAGCTGAATGAAAACCGCTTACTCAAGAATAACTAACATAAACTTACAAACAACAGGTGGTTTAGGGATACATACGCATATAGTAAAACAGTGAAGAAAAGCAAGGCAATTACAAACAAAATATGGAAGAGTGGGTACCCCAAAAGAGTGGAAGGAGGCGAGGGCAAGTGGGTGGGGGGGACTCCTGGGGGCTTCAATTGGGTACACAGGTGTTAGATTTTAACCATTCCTTACACCTTATGTATCTTCTTCATTTGTATGTAAGAATTTAGCAATGAAAGAAAAAAAATCAAGCACAGAACAATACTCAATGTGTGTTGCTATTTGTGTTTTAAAACATACTACAGGCTGGGCGTGGTGGCTCACGCCTGTAATCCCAGCACTTTGGGAGACCGAGGTGGGCGGACCACCTAGGTCAGGAGTTCAAGACCAGCCTGGTCAACATAGTGAAACTCCATCTATACTAAAAAATACAAAAATTAGCCGGGCATGGTGGTGCACACCTGTAGTCCTAGCTACTCGGGAGGCTGAGGCAGGAGAATCACCTGAACCCGGCAGGTGGAGGTTGCAGTGAGCTGGGATCGCACCACTGCACTCCAGCCTGGGCAACAGAGTGAGACCCTGTCTCAAAACAAAAACAAAAACAAAAACATACTACAGCAGGGGCTTGGTGGCTCACACCTGTAGTCCCAGCTACTTGGGAAGCTGATGTGGGAGAATCACCTGAGCCCGGGAGGTTGAGGCTGCAGTGTGCTGAGAATGTGCCACTGCACTCCAGCCTGGACAACCAGAGTGAGACCCTGTCTCAAAAATAAATAAATAAATACATAAATAAAATCAAACACACTACATATACTCATATATGCATACATTTGCTCTAGAAGTCTACTAGAAAATGGTTCCAGTGGTTGTTCTAGGGGAAGGAAACTGTGAACCTGAGGATCAGGGCAGGACCCTTGTATACCCATCAACTGGTGACTTTGTGTTTTCTTTCCTTCTTTTTTAAACCAATTGCATTTCTTAAGAAAAGGGGGGGCAATAAAAAGAAAAGGAAAATGGTGCGTTGATGAGAGGCCAGGTGCCAAAGCCAATATCATAAATATTTCCAATTATTTTCTTCTTCTGTAGAGAAATTACTAATGAACAGGAGAGATGGATCAAATTCCAGTTAAAGGCAAAGAAATGTGATCTTTGCAGTCCCTGTGCTGATAAAAGTACAATTTCATTACATTTCTGTAGTATCCCAAGGACTCGCATGATGACCTTCACTGGTTCCAGAGGTCAAGGAACTTTATTGATGGTGCTGATAGTACAGAATCTATCGTTTCATAGCTAGGAACACTGGCGCATGCCTGTGGTCCCAGCTACTTGGGAGGCTGAGGCGGGGGGATCGCTGGAGCCCAGGAGTTGGAGGCTGTGATGGAGCCTGTGAATAGTCACTGCACCTCCACCTGGGCCACACAGTGAGACCCTGTCTCTTTAAAAGTCAATCAATGTATCTATCTATCATTTCATGATTTTCAGATGCTTCTCTAATAACTAATGTTGTCATCCACAAAATTAAATAAACAAAAGGAGATGACCAATATACTTTATTTTTTTGGAAGTGTCCATTTGTTGTTGTTTGTCTCCTCACCCACCTTCTGCAAAACTGTGGATTTCACTTACCTGGAGATGGCTTCGACATGAAGTCAAAGGTGAGCACATTTGGGACTTTCATTGCTAGAAGCTGAAGCATCACACTGGCCAGGTTACACCTGTGAAGAGCATGAGACCAGGGTCATGACCTGATCCCTCTGCCATTGAGTCAGAACCCCTCATGGTGGAGTGTGAGTAAAAACTGCAGCTCTGGGCAAGCAGGAGAGACATGGTGACAAACAGCAGCAGTGCAGGAGCAACTGGTGCCTACCTCTGGATCTCTGGCACGGTCATCTTATCAAACTTCTCAAACTCGTCCTCCGTGTAGAGCCGGTAGCAGATGCCACTGTCCTCTCTGCCAGCCCTCCCTGTGCGCTGCCAAGCCTGCGTCTTCGATACCCGCTGCACTGCTAACACCTCAAGACCACTGTCTGGATGGAGAGTGAGCCCCATTAGTGCTTCATCACATGAACAAACTCTTTCTACAGTGTCGATAAAAAGAAGCACACCAGTGGTTCTTTCAGCAACACGGGGGTCCAGAAAGCCTCAAGGCTAGCACAATGGACAGCACAAAACCAGACTGCTCCGCAGCGGTTTGGCCCTAGTGAAACAAGGCTTTGCCATAAGCCCACTGTGAAATCTGTTACAAAAACATCAGAAAAACCTCACGCATGCAGCAAGGGGCGAGAAGAGTAGTTTCCGAGGTCTTGCCTTAGATGGTAGGATGGCCAACCCCTCCAGTTTGCTTGGGACAGAGGGTTTCCTGGGATGTCGGATTTTGGGTGCTAAAACTGGGAGTTTCAGCAAACTAGGATGGGGGTCATACTATCAATCAATGACTACGAAATTAAATGCCTCAAATCACTTGTGTGCTTTATCCTCCCTCCCAGTTCTGCTGTAAGACAGAAATAATGTGATGTCTGTTTTCTAGCAGTAAATGAGGTTCATTTTCTTGATAAAGGTGTATCATTAGCCTGGCACTGGAGACCCAAGCTCTTTCACCTACGTCATCACAAAAAGATACACCTGTGGAAGCCAGGACCCTCAAATGTTTACTAGAGCATTTCAGTTCAATAATTGGGAGCAATAATTTCAGTGGTCTCAAATCCTCTGTGGAATAAAGCAAAGTATAAAACAGACATGAGTCAAGATGACCTTAAGTTAGCTTCTCACTGCACCTTCTTAGGAGAAGCCAGTGCTCCTTCCATGCCTCACCTCAGCCAGGAGATCTGGTTCCTTCCTGAGAAACCTGGGAGCTCAAACCAGCCATATATATATAGTTTCTGATGACACCCTTTGATTGACACCCAGCTGTCCCTGGCCTTAGAGCCGACTTCTGATGGGGTACCAGACCCTCTGCCCAGGTCCCTGACCCTGTGTGCCCAAGTTTGCTCAACCTGGGCTCTTCTTTCCTGCCTCTACTTCCTGTCTCACATACCCGCCTCAGGACTCCTTCGCGGACCTGGAGTGTAGGTGATCTCACTCATGGCGCCTGCCACCTGAATTTGTTAGTTACAAACATGAAACACTCAGGGGAAAACTGTGGGACTACAGTTTCAGTGGCTGCTCACTAGACACAGGAGAGACATTCATGAACTACAAATTCTCACCAGGGTTATACTTCTTTGCTTTAACCATGCCCGTGTCAACTACATATTTTATTCCTGTAATGGTTATGGAGGTTTCAGCGATGTTGGTTGAAATGATCACTTTGCGATAGCCCTAAAAGGAGGAAGAAAACCAAAAAGCCGCATTGACACACGGATGATTCAGAAGTCTTCAAACATATTCTCACCATTAACTTCCACAATTCACTCTTGACCAACAGAAGATGACTCCATTATTAATGGCAGTCATTAATATTAATGGTTGGTCATTAAACCGGGCAGGGGAAGGGGACGCTGCAGTCTTAAAGGTCAATTTGAGGCAATGAGATGCAGTGGAACAAGCACAGGAATCAGAAGCAAGTAGATGTGGGTTGGAATCGTGGCCCTGCCAGTGACTTACTATGCGCCCCCTTGAGCAATTGTTACTTCCCTTCTTGGGGCCTCAGGATCCCCATGGGATCATAACCTGCCTTGCCGGTTCCCACGAGGATGACAGACAGTGGATATAAATGCTAGCACAGTGCCTGGCACGGCAAAGGCACACAAGAAATGGCACTATGGACAAATGCAATTTATGCTGGTCCTTAGAAGTCACTCGTTTACCTTGCAGCTTTGGTTTATACTCTCCCTCATCCCAACAACTGTCTCCCTGCTCCTGTCACAGGAGCGCTGCGTGTGTCACCGCGCATTTTATTCCTGCACCTCCTCAGTGCGCTGATCTGGCACCTGGGTATCCCATCCCATACACCTTATCTGGAGCCTGGTAACAGGTACAGACCTCGCTGGTGGATCCGTCTGGGTGCCCAGAATAGGGCTGGACAGAAGAGGTGGTGCACTCACCTTTGGGGCCCCTTGGAAGACTCGGAGCTGCTGTGCATAGGGCAGGGAGGCGTACAGAGGAAGGACCAGCATCGCAGGGCAGCCGTCTGGGAGGTGCTTTGCAATGTCTCGGCACGTCTTGCTCATGGCTTCGATCTCCTCCTGCCCAGTGAGGAACACCAGGATGTCCTGTGAAGAAGGGGCTTCCTGTAAAAAAAGTAGAGTGGGTTTACTAGGCATTGATAGAATTGCAGCTTGCACAGAAAAAGACAATGGTGATTGATGATGTTTCCCAGAGTTATTTCTCTTAACTATAGAAATGTAAATGAGCCTAAAAGTTGATGTCTAGCTTGGAGAGAACCCTTACCAGCAGTGTGTAAATGGTAACAGGCTGGGTGTGATGGCTCACGCCTGTAAACCCAGCACTTTGGGAGGCTGAGGCGGGAGGATCGTTTGCAGCCAGGAGTTTGTGACCAGCCTGGGCAACGCAGCAAGATCCCATCTCTACAAAACACTTTTTTTTAAATTGGTCAGGGGTGGTGACACATGCCTATAGTTCCAGCTGCTTGCCACTCCACTCCAGCCTGGGCGACAGAACGAGAACCTGACTCAAAAACACAAAAAACAAAACTGTAATATATAGGAGTTAGCCAGCTATGTTTATAGGCCAAGTGATGAAATTTTGAAGGGAAATCATCAGATTGATTTTTCTAACAAGAACAATACCATGAAAAGCATAATCAGGCAAGCAAATAAAATCTGCATGAAGCTTCCTTTCTTTTATAAGCATCTTGAAAAATGAAGTTGACAAAACAGAAGGAAACTTGGGGAAATCCTAATCTATGGAAATGAACAGGCGCAGCCATGCTGGAGAAGGAGCCTTTAATGAATGACGCCGTCGAAAGCGCTTTCACACGCCCCAAAACACACACTATACTCGGACAACTGCTTGAGATACTGAGGTTAATGGGGTTCCTCACTTTCAAATGGAACAACACCCAAGTGTGAATGACATACCTAATGCCCTGATTTTTCTTTGATTTCTGATCAGATACATTAATTTGTTTGATGTAAAGTGCTTAACACTTTGGGAGGCCGAGGCGGCCAGATCACCTGAGGTCAGGAGTTCGAGACCAGCTTGACCAACATGGTGAAACCCTGTCTCTACTAAAAATACAAAAAATTAGCCAGGCGTGGTGGCGCACGCCTGTAATCCCAGCTACTCAGGAGGCTGAGGCAGGAGAATCACTTGAACATGGGAGGCGGAGGTTGCAGTGAGCCGAGATTGCATCACTGCACTCCAACCTGGGCGACAGAGCAAGACTCCATCTCAAAAAATAAATAAATAAAATGAAGTGCTTGATGGACTGGGCGCAGTGGCTCATGCCTGTAACCCCAGCACTTTGGGAGGCTGAGGCAGGCAAATGGGTTGAGGTCAGCAGTTTGAGACCAGCCTGTCCAACACAGTGAAATCCCATCTCTATTAAAAATACAAAAGTTAGCTAGGTGTGATCCCAGATACTCAGGAGGCTGAGGCACAAGAATCACTTGGACCTGGGAGGTAGAGGTTGCAGTGAGCCGAGCTCGTGTCACTGCACTCCAGCCTGGGCGACACAGTGAGACTCCATCTCAAAAAAAAAAAAAAAAAGTGCCTAATGGCAAAATAAATAGAAAAAAATTTTAATAATTATATGTATATTTATGTATATATGTAAAAATACGTATTTTTTAATATGTATTTTTTTTCAGCCCAGTATTAACAGAACAAATGTGCAGAGGGATACACAGACAGGATAAAATCTAAAACAGTCAAAACCTCATGAGTGGGAGAATTCATCAAAGCCAGTGGTAACCTAATGCACCAGCAGCCATCATTCATGAAAAATTCTCGTTTGCTTTCTGCAGCTGAACAAGGCAGACTTCTTCCCCAAACACTATGAAAACGACAGTAAAGGCCACTGTCTTAGAAAGAAAAGGCAATGAGAGATGAGGAGTCTCAACTCATTTTGGAAGAGAGGGGAAAGGGGCTGGATGACTTGGCTAGAGGGAGGAAACTACAAATTATGTTGTGGGAGAGTGAAAACTCAGGGATTGGTTCAAAGTCTGAGTATAGAGTAGTTAAAGCCTTCAGTTCCCTCTCCTACCCAGGACGGCCAGGAGACTGGGAAGCCATGGGTCTCACCACGGGAAAATGGTGACAAAGTGAAGAGTCAAGATGACAGCTGCACAAAGGCCCAGGAGAGCCACCTGCCCCAACTGGAACAGCAGCATAAAGGACTCTGAAAAGACAGACTGTGCTTGAACACAGAACTATACACGACTGGCATATGAGATGTTGGAATATTTGGGAGAAAATGAGCCAGAGCTACCCAGAAAGCTTGCACAACTGTGTTGTTCAAGAAACAAGGTACAGGGATGATGGTGTGCTACTAGCAATGTGTGGTCATAATATTCTTAGTATTGATACTGGACTCAGAAAACATCATAATAGGCCAGACACAGGTGTGCAAGCATGTAGTCCTAGCTACTCCCAATGCTGAGGTGGGAGGACTGATTGAGCCCGGGAGTTCACGACCAGCCTGGGCAACACAGCAAGATCCTGCCTCAAAAACAAAAACCTAAACAAAAACATGATAGAACTGTCAAGAGGTTGGAGATAAAGGGGGTTGGGGAGGGGCATTCTAAACTTTTGTCACCATGGTAAGAAATTAGCATATGATGCCTGATACCCATAACTCAAAAAATAGTGGTCAAAGCAAGGTAGTTTAGAAACATGAAAGCAATATGTAGAGATTGAAAGTAGGTGCCCTAAACAGCAGAAATCTGGGATGTTGAAGTAAAAACAACTGCTATTCTTTTATTATAAACCTTTTACTATAAACTACTTGACTTTTTAAAACTTTAAATCCCATATGCATCACTTATTTTAAAATAAAAATTGACTGGGCACGGTTTCTCACATCTGCAATCCCAGTGCTTTGGGAGGCTGAGTCGGGAAAATCACTTGAGGTCAGGAGTTTGAGACCAGTCCGGGCAACGTAGCAAGACCCTGTCTCTACAAAACATAAAAAAAAATTAGCCAGGTGTACTGGTGTGTGCCTGTAGTTCCAGCTACTCAGGAGGCAAAGGTAGGAGGACGGCTTGAGCCCAGGAGATCGAGGCTGTAGTAGCTGTGATTATGCCACTGCACTCCAGCCTGGGTGACAGAATGAGACCCCGTCTCTAAATAAGTAAATTAATTAAATAAAAAGTTATTTTAAAAGTTTGCCTCTGGATTTTCTCAGAAAGCTAATAGGAAGGTAAAAACATTAAATTTTATACAAATTAAACAAAAGTGACTTAATGATTCAAATTTTTGAAGTAAATGTTTAATAAAATGAGAAAATATTTTTAAATATTCTCCTAATATAGTTTAAAAAAAAAAGAAACTCTAAGTTGCAACCCATTATTGGGCTAATGTCAACTTTTTCTTTTTTTGAGATAGGATCTTGCTCTGTTTCCCGGGCTGGAGTGCGGTGATCATAGTTCACTGCAGCCTTAATCTTCCAGGCTTAAGTGATCCTCCTACCTCAGCATCCCAAGTAGCTGGGACTATAGGCATGCACCACCACACCTGGCTGATTGTTTGATTTTTAGTAGAGACAAGTCTTGCTATGTTGCCCGGGCTGGTCTCAAACTCCTGAGCTCAAGCAATCCTACCCACCTCTGCTTCCCAAAGTGCTAGGATTACAGGTGTGAGCTACTGTGCCCAGCCAACATTTTCTTTAAATGAGGCACAAAATATCAGAGTACCCTACATGTAGTAAAAGACACAGTACTTCTTCTTTAAAAAATAATTTTTATAATTTTTTTTATAGAGACAGGGTTTTGCTATGTTGTCAGACTGGTCTTGAACTCCTGGACTCAAGTGATCCTCCTGCCTTAGCCTCCCAAAGCGTTGGGATTACAGGTGTGAGCCACCATGCCTGGCCAGAAGCAGTGTTTCATAGACCTATTTCAGTTATATGTATAGCGTACGGGGTTGCAAAAGAAAAAGTACCTTTTTTTTTTTTTTTTTGAGACAGACCCTCGCCCTGTCACCCAGGCTGGAGTGCAGTGGCGCGATCTCGGCTCACTGCAAGCTCTGCCACCTGGGTTCGCGCCATTCTCTTGCCTCAGTCTCCCGAGTAGCTGGGACTACAGGCGCCCGCTACCACACCCGGCTAATTTTTTGTATTTTTAGTACAGACGAGGTTTCACCATGTTAGTCAGGAGGGTCTCGATCTCCTGACTTCATGATCCACCCGCCTCGGCCTCCCAAAGTGCTGGGATTACAGGCGTGAGCCACTGTGCCCAGCCAAAAGTACTTCTTAATGGCGGTTATAATCAAGGAAAGTTGGTAAGCTACTGCTTTAACATGAAAATTTTCTGGCTCAGTGTAAGAAAGCTGCTGGTCAGAACTGAATTATTTTTCTTTTCAATGAAAATTAGAGATATCATAAATAAAGGATAAAAATCCAGACACAGCAAATGAACTCCTTATTCATTGTTTTTTTTTTGTTTTTTTTTTCAGACGGAGTCTCCCTCTGTCACCTAGGCTGGAGTGCAGTGGTGCAATCTCGCCTCATTGCAACTTCCACCTCCCGGATTCAGGCGATTCTCCCACCTCAGCATCCCGAGTAGCTGGGATTACAGGCACCCGCCATCATGCCTGGCTAATTTTTGTATTTTTAGTAGAGATGGGGTTTCACCATGTTGGCCAGGCTGGTCTTGAACTCCTGACCTCAGGTGATCCACCTGCCTCGGCCTCCCAAAGTGCAGGGATTACAGGCGTGAGCCACCGCACCTGGCCTCCTTATTCATCTTGATGACACAACTCACAAAGTTGTTTTATTCAGTAGCTTTTCTTTTCAAGGCTCAATGTTCTCACTACCAACTGCAAGATAAAAGAGAACTTTTCAGGAATTTGCCCCCAGCACCATACCTGGTGGATCTGGAAGACGGAGACAAGCGCGGCGTGCAGGTAATCATTCTGAGGCTGTTTGGTGTAAAACACCTGGATCGGATGCTGCCGACCCTCTAGGTAGAGGACGGGGGCGCCATTGAAATACTGAGAGAACAGGTCCACATCCATCGTAGCTGACATCACAATCACCTGCATAAGAGAACGAAGAGGAGGACCAGAAACAAATAGTGGGAAGGCCTTTCCGTGTCCCTCTCGAGCCCCAAAAGCAGATGATTGAGGCCTGTGCCACCCCCATCACAGTTTACTTTCTTCCAAGGCTCTGAGCAGAACAGGCAGAGGAAAACACCCTGCTAGAGCACACAGGTCTGTTTCCTTTCCTTTCCTTCTTTTTTTTTTTTTGAGATGGAGTTTCACCGGGCACGGTGGCTCACGTCTGTAATCCCAGCCCCAGCACTTTGGGAGGCCGAGGCAGGCGGATCACGAGGTCAGGAGATCGAGGCCATCCTGGCTAACACGGTGAAACCCCGTCTCTACTAAAAATACAAAAAATTAGCCAGGTGCGGTGGTGGGCGCCTGTAGTCCCAGCTACTTGGGAGGCTGAGGTAAGCAATGGCGTGAACCTGGGAGGCGGAGCTTGCAGTGAGCTGAGATCGCGTCACCACGCTGCAGCCTGGGTAACAGAGTGCAAAAAAAAAAAAAAATCAAGACGGAATTTCAGTCTTGTTCAAGTGACTCTCCTGCCTCAGCCTCCCTAGTAGCTGGAACGACAGGCATGTGCCACCATGCCTGGATCATTTTTTGTATTTTTAGTAGAGACGGGGTTTCACCACGTTGGCCAGGCTGGTCTCGATCTCCTGACCTCAGGTGATCCACCGGCCTCGGCCTCCCAAAGTGCTGGGATTACAGGCGTGAGCCACCGTGCCGGGCCAATTATCTGGATACTTTCAGATCATATTTCTGCCAACTCCCTGAAATACAAGTTGTCTATAAAGTTATGCTATTTAATGAACTTTCACTTTTTTTTTTTTTTTTTTTTTGAGACAGAGTCTCGCTCTGTCACCCAGGCTGGAGTGCAGTGGTGTGATCTCAGCTCACCGCAACCTCCGCCTCCTGGGTTCAGGCGATTCTCATGCCTCAGCCACCCAAGTAGCTGGGATTACAGATGTGTGCCACCACACCCAGCTAATTTTTATATTTTTAGTAGAGACGGGGTTTCACCACGTTGGCCAGGCTGGTCTCGAACTCCTGACCTCAGGTGATCCACCGGCCTTGGCCTCCCAAAGTGCTGGGATTACAGGCGTGAGCCACCGCGCCCAGCCAGGCCTGTTTCCTTCTGTGTGTTACGCATACTTTCAGGGGAAGTTTCCCTCATACTTTCAGGGGAAGTTTCCCTCATACTTTCAGAGGAAGTTTCCCGAGTTCCTTTCTCCTCTTCTGTGCAGCTTTCACCACTCCAAAGAGCACATCTGTGTGGATAGTCCGTTCGTGAGCTTCATCCAAAATGACACAGCTGTATTTCCGAAGCAAAGAGTCTGAAATTGCTTCACGCAGAAGCATGCCATCTGTCAGAAACTTGATCCTGGTGTCTTCTGAGGTGACATCATCAAAGCGCACTGTATAGCCAACCTGTGCAGGGAAACAATTTATTCAGTCACCAAACATTTCTTGAGCGCCCACTGTGTCCGGCACTAAGTTGGGCACTTGCACTACCACAGTGAACAAGACCAACACCAACGCTTCCCACTCCCTTGGGAAGCATGCAGTCTAGCTGCTGAGAGAGACAATGGTCAAGTTTACTTTAACCGCAATTAATGTAACTATTACAAGGAATATTTAAAATTAACCTTCTACCTCAAGCTATTTAATAGTTTCATGTGGGCCGGGTGTGGTGGCTCACACCTGTAATCCCAGCACTTTGGGAGGTTGGGGCAGGCAGATCACGAGGTCAGGAGTTTGAGACCAGCCTGACCAACATGCTGAAATCCCGTCTCTACTAAAAAATACAAAAATTAGCCACTGGGTGTGGTGGCACGTGTCTGTAATCCCAGCTACTCGGGAGGCTGAGGCAGGAGAATTGCTTGGTTGGAGGCGGAAGTTGCAGTGAGCCAAGATTGCGCCACTGCACCTCAGCCTGGGCGACCGAGCGAGACTATCTCCAAAAAAAAAAAAGTTTCATGTGAAGCTATGTACAGATATGAAAAGACGTCTAAGGTATTTTTAAGTGAAATGAGTACACACACACACAAATAAATCTGTCTTATATACAGTTCTGAGACTCATTCTCAATACTCACATATACACTGGCATAATGCTTACAATTTTTCTAGAATGATATATAGATAAGAGAGTTAAGAGAGGTTACTGAAGGCTTAAGATGTTCAAGGAAAGCAACTAATTTATCCAACCTGACGACAGATTTTGAAAGCAAAGCACATGGGACCAATAGAGCCCCTGATCTCTCAGGAGCTGGTAAAGAACTCTCGGAAGAATAGGCAAGAAAGCAGCTCACTATGTAAAAGGAGTCTTGTTTAGAAAAATAAAAGGCAGTGGGCATGGGGAGAGAGCTGTTGAGTCAAGAAGTACTAATAGTCAAGAAGGAACCAGGTACCAGCTTCCCAAGTTCAGTTCTCTTCTCATCTGAGACTCTAGTAGCAAGAGAGATGGCAGCTACTCGACGAGGCTGGGTCACAGCAATGATGCCCTGGCGGCTGATCCCTCCTTCATACAGGTACTGAGGGATCTGAGTTGTCTTCCCAGAGCCAGTTTCCCCTAGGAGAGAGGGGGAAAAAAAAAAAAGGCTCACTGAAATGCAAACTGGGGCTCGGCACCAGGGCTGGCACCTATAATCTCAGCACTTTGGGAGGCCGAGGTAGGAGGCTCTCTTGAGCCCAGGAGTTCAAAATCAGCCTGGGCAACATAGCAAGACCCCGTCTCAACAACAACAACAATTAGCCTGGTGTGGTTGCATGTGCCTGTAGTCCCAGCTACTAGGGAGGCTGAGACAGAAGGATCATGAGGCCCAGGAGTTCAAGGTTACAGTAAGCCATGATTGTGCCACTGCATGCCAGCCTGGGAGATAGTGTGAGACACTGTCTCAAAAAAAATAATAAAAATAAAAAAAGAAATGCAAATCGGCTGGGCACAGTGGCTCATGCCTGTAATCCTAGCACGTGGGGAGGCCAAGGGAGGAGGATCACTTGAGCCCAGGAGTTGCTCCTGGGCAACATAGGGAGATGCCGTCTCTACAAAAAATACAAACATTAGTTGGACGTGGTGGTGCACGCCTGTGGTCCCAGCTACTCTGAAGGCTGAGGTGGGCATATTGCTTGAGCCTGAGAGGTTGAGGCTGCAGTGAGCCATGATCACACCACTACACTCCAGCATGGGCAACGGAATGACACCCTGTCTTAGAAAAACAACAACAACAAAAAGCAAATTGACATAAATTTCACCAAACAAACAGCTCAAAGTCAGAAGTAAAAGATAAAATACCCTGTGTTGGTAAAGCCTCAGGAGAATGGGCATTCAGGTATGTATACTGCTGGTGAAATTAGCTGGTTAATTGGTATTGTTTCTCAGGTGGTCAAATTATGTTTTTTAAATCTTTAAAATGTTTATATCCCTTGACCCACAATTCTACTTGCAGAAATTGATTCTAACAAAATAAGTAAACATGTGTATAAAGATACAGCTTCAAAGAGATTTTATTCAATTTTGCTCCTGACAGAAAAAAATTGGAAACAATATAAATGTTCAAAAGGTAATTTACATAGTTAAAATATAAAATAAAATACAACCGTTACATAGATTTCTGCATACTGACTGACATGAAGAGACATCCATTCATGCACTGCTGCCTTCAACTCCTGGCCACTCCCCAGCCTGCTGCCTCCCTTCAAACCCTCTGCCTCTGCCCACACTATGGGCAGAACACCTGCCCTCACACTGCCTGCCTCGCAAACTCTAAGATGAGTTAGGCCTCAAACACGCTCCCCTGGCTGCACAGTGGCCCTCCTCTGGGCTCCGTAGTGCCTTGTTCATCTCTCTTCCAGCACTGACCATCCTGTGTTGTACAGAAGCGTTTAAATGTGTCCGTCCTCCTCCAACACCAGAAGGGAAGCTCCCAGAGGGCAGTGCTCTGAATGTCCCTCTCGTGTACTTGAGTATTTTGCATACAATAAGCACGCAGTAAATGTTACTTCCTACCCTGTGTGAATTCCTTTAACAGTGCCTGATTAGAGCAAAGAACTCAGTAAACCTGCGCTTCCTTCCCCTCCCTCTAGCTACCACCAGGCCTCTCTGACTTCAAAAAGTCCTCCAGTCCCATGATTTGTGGGTTTTTTTCCCTGTCAGTCTGTCAGCCCCCTCTGACTGCTCATCCTTCCTGACCCAGATAAGAATCAGACAAAGGATTTGATTATTCTGCAATCTTCCTGCTGAATCCACTAGGCAAAACCCCAAACTTTGATCCATGTCTCTATCTTTCATGCTCCTATACCAGGGCAACAGAGCGTTGCTAAAGTAAAATACAAAATGCTTGGAACCAGAAGTGTTTTGAACTTTGGATTCTTTCAAGTTTTGTAATATTTGCATTATACTTACTGGCTGAGCATTTTAAATGTGAAAATCTGAAGTCCTAAATGCTCCCAAATCCAAAACTTTTTGAGCATCTGATATGACACTCAAAGGAAATGCTCCTTGGAGCCCATTCTTGACTTCGGATTTTCAAATTTGGGATGTTCCACCTATAATCTGGCTGTGCAGAAGCAAACCTGAGTTTATAGTGTAGCCGAAATGCACCTAGGCACCACTACTGCCATCGATCTTTTTTCTTGTTTTTGCAGCCTGTCTCGTCTCCATCCTCCCCAAGGGCCCACTTGAAGCCCAGTGACTCCCATTCTGAGCAGGGCTCCTGAACCTGTCTCACAGAAGTGGGGTTCTAAAATGTGGTCTCTCCCTAACTGCCCCTAGAAGCCCTTCTGCAGTGCACCATCCTTACATCCGTTCTCTAGCCCTGCAGCCTCTTAGCCTTCCTCCTCTTCCAGACCAGCCCTGCATCTAGCCCTTGTGGCCAAGTTCCCCCGTCCCCCATGCCTCCTGATCTTTGCTCTGTTAGCTCGATTCTATCTTCTGCCTCCCTCCCTACTGAGTTCTTCCCCTCAACCTCTGAATACAGATGGTCCCTGTCTTAGAACTGTTTGACTTCAGGATGGAGCAAAAGTCAAAATCGTACAGTAGAAACTGTACTTTTGAGTACCCACACAACTGTCACTTTCAGTATGGTATTCAATAAATTGCATGAAATATTCAAGACTTTATTATAAAATAGGTTTCATGTTAGATAATATCACCCAACCATAGGCTAATGTACATGTTCCGAGCACACTGAAAGTAGGCTGGGCATATTAAATGCATTTCCAACTTAGGATATTTTCAACTTATGAGGATGGGTGGATTCATCCACACATAACCCCATCCTAAATCGAGCAGCATCCATAAAGTTTCTCTCAGCTTCCCTCCTTTTTCCTCAAAACAGAAGCCTCTTCCCCCTGCTTTCAGCCCTCAGCTCAATGACAAATCAGCTGTTACCCACACAGCTTTGTTGAAATAGCTCTCGATGGGATGGATCCACGATCAATAGTGTCAGAGATAGTCTGTGAAAGTCATGAAAAATTTTATGAGAGGAAATGTATGCAAGAAATGTTTTACAATTTAAAAGTGATTAGGCCTCCTGAATGCTTTATAAAATGTCACCATAACTCTTAGCTGTAGAACTTGCCTGCTTTGCAGCTAGGTAAAACCTAGGACACATGGAGCTAAATGCTGAAATAAGCCAGACCTTAACTGCACTTCTGTCTAAGTCCTAGGCTGTACACCTAGCACATAATTAAAATCCCGAACTTACCAAGGTTTTCAACAAAGGTAAAGGTTGCTAAAAGTTAACAGTGTAACATGTATTTAAAACTATTGAAGAGACACTTTATGTGCAAGGTGTGTAAGGAAAGTAAAGTACACTTTCGGTAAAAAGATTATCAGGAGGGATAAGAATGCACATTTTTACCTACGTTAAAAGGTTAAATAATTGTTTTGAGGGGGCCAGGTGCGGTGGCTCACGCCTCTTTCTATATCAACCAATCGGGCCTAGTAAAAAGCGCTGCTAAAAAACGTAAAGAAAAGGCTAAAAAGCTAAGGGAGTACCAAAACCACCAAATGGACTCTTGGTTTGAAAACAAAATCATAGCATGGGTCATCCCATTCCTGGGCCCTCTCCTAATAATATGCCTGGAACTAATGTTCTTACCCTGCCTAATTAATCTTTTTCAAAGATTTTTAACTGACAGGATCATGGCAATTTCACAAACAACTACCCAAAAACATCTACAGACGGCATTGCTCCTAGTCAACCCGAGACCAGGAAACTCTCCATCCCCTCGTTGCAGGAAGTAGCCAGAAAGAACATGCCGTCCCTCCTCCTTTTTATAACTATAGGGTCTGGATTGACAAAGCAGGAACATCACCATCTTGGACAAGCCCCTCATTCAAAAGTTCACCTTAATAAAAAACCGCCTAAATCCAAAAGGTATCAGCCTAATGGCTAAGGTCAGCACGACCATAAACCACAAATAACATCTCCAGCCAGAAACATTCCAAACTCCTCCCCGACCAGAGACATGTTAAGGGATAACCCCACTCTGGCCGGGAATATGCCAGCCGGGAATATGCCAGCCGGGAGATAAACCCCCTCGGGCCGGAAAAATGTCTGCCCCAAGATAACATCCCCTGCTCCCAAAGAGTCCAACCCTGCCAAAAACTTCTCCACACATATAAACATTCCAAGCTTGTGATAAGCCCCCTCACCCTAACACCAATATATACTCTTAGTCTGTAAGAGAAAGGGCTCCTGACCGAAATCGGCCAGGAGCGCCTCTCAGGTTTTAACTAAAGAAAAGCTGTCTTTAACTGCCAGCCGCGTTTCGTGTTTCTTTCCTTTTTCTTTAACTCTTACAAATAGCTCACATCCAAATCCAGTGGGCATCACATCCAAGTCCAGTATAACCGGACTTGACTGCTGCATCTGCTCACTCTCTATTCCTTTGACTAGCAGCACTCATGGGTCTCCTTCCTCTCTTTGGCTGCTCATCCTTTCCGTCCTTCAGTATCTCCTCTAACACGTTGGGGATCATAAGCCCCATGAAATCAGTCCCTGCCCCACAACTCTGCCTCTTTTCATGCACCAGAAACTACACCTTCCCTTTCGACCGGAATGTGTTCAGGTTCCCATCTCTCAAACGGGCTTTCCCCCCTGCCTAGAATGCCCTCCCTCCCACACGACCTCCCCAGCCGCCTCCTCACAAACCGGGTCAGATCCACTCTTCTAAGATCCGCAAGCCCCCGGTACGTTTCTCTACCCTTTTACGCGGAAGGTGAGTCTTTGCCTACACACGTTGGTCACTCTCACCGGGCTGTCCAGCGCCTCCAGGGCAGGGCTGCCGGACTCTTCTTCGAGGCCCCTCTCCAGGTCTGGCCCAGAAAAGGTATTCAGGTTTGTTGAAGCCACGAACGAAAGGGATTGAGAGGCATGTAAGAAAAACTGCTCTAGCTAAGCCACGGACGAAGTGCAAGGAAGAGCCCGCCGGCGCGGCCACTCACCGATGAGGACCGCGTTGTCCAGGTTTCGGAGCTGGGCCAACAGTTGCCCCCGCGCTTGGAAGATGGGCAGACTCCGGCGCTGCAGCTCCACAGCTTCAGGGTAGGGACTGGCCGAGGGCTGGGCCAGGGGCGGCTGCTGCCTCCGGCCTCCTCCTCCTCCTCTGCCGCCGCTGCCCGCAGTCAGCAGCATCACCACTTGCCTCCCGGGAGGGAAGGACCCAGCGCGGCTCGGAGGTCCAGAGCCTGGCCGGAATCTCTTGGCCGGCGGGAAGCCCGCCTCCTCCGGCATGTCGGGAGGGCACCGCGGCGGGAGGCGCAAGCGCCGAGAGCTCCTGCCCCCTCTCAGGTGCAGACAACAGGAGCACACCGCCCCTTCCTCGCCGCCACGTGCTGGCGGCTCCCGGCGACCACCGATGACCTCACGGCCGCCCCAGTCTTTAGAAAAAGGGACTGCATCTCCCAGCATGCCTTGGGGGCTTGGGAAGGCTTTCACTTCCTGGGGGTGGGAAAAGCAGGGCCTGAGGTACAACCAGGAAAAGGCCCGGAGCTACAACCGGGAAACACAGGATGTAAGGTTCCGTGGGACTGTAGTCTTGGTTAACGAGGTTTTTCTCATTGTTTTATTTTTTTTTTTTGAGATGGAGTTTCGCTCTTGTTGCCCAGGCTGGAGTGCAATGGCGCGATCTCGGCTCACACTGCAACCTCCGCCTCCTGGGTTCAAGCGATTCTCCTGCCTCAGCCTCCCAAGTAGCTGGGGTTACAGGCGTGCGCCACCGGGGCCCGTCTAATTTTGTATTTTTAGTAGAGACAGGGTTTCTCCATGTTGGTCAGGCTGGTCTTGAACTCCCGACCTCAGGTGATCCGCCTGCCTCGGCCTCCCAAAGTGCTGGGATTATAGGCGTGAGCCACCGCGCCCCGCCCATTGTTTTGTTCTAGTAGCATTACTTCTTTTCAGTAAACCCGCGTTTTCCCCTTCTCTGTCCAAATAACAGTCACTCTTCAAGGAAAGTACTTAATTCTGTAAAATCAATGAGAAGCGCAAACGTGCATTGTCTAATCCTCTAAACAACTTATAAGTTATGTGGTATATACTGGTTATTAGATTATCTCTAATTTACAGATTAAGAAATTGAGTCATCTTAGTCATTCAGATGTCCCCAAATCATAATTTTGTGATCATCTTGTGTTACAGAAAGGAAAACCAATTCTGATATACATGAATTTAACTCAGAAAATGACTCCTCCAACGGATGTGGTCGCCTCCAGTAATACAAGCAGAGAAAGGAGGGAGTTCAATGAAATTAAAATTGTCTTTTATCTTTCCTTTCCCCCAACCATTCCAGCCAGACTCTCAAGTTCTCTACATGGCTGTGCAACCCCATCACAGACACTTCAGTGAAGATTCAGAACTGCAGCAGAAAAAAGTAGGATTATAACTAGTTCTTCCTTACCCTCCTAAAAGTTCTTAGATGATTTGCTAATTTACCACGGAGAATGCCAAGTAGCTGTTTGCTCTTACAGGAAATGTGATTTCCAGAGAATACACCGTAAGCTTCAGCTCATGTGAAGGGTATCTTCTGAAGCTCGTTTCCATGAAACTCGCCCTGTTAAATATCTCCCTTCCCGTGATTCGTGAGAGAGCTAGTCTAAAAACAAAAAACCTCCCCTTTGCTCCAGGTCGGAGATAATTTTCCTCTAGTTGCTGACAGTTTGGTGACCAGGCATTACTGAAAATGTGCACGTTGAACCAGCAGCAGATTTGTGTTTAAGAATAAACTGACAAATTTTCACTTCCTACCCTGAAATATTTAGAAAGGCAACCCAAAACTACAAGGGATAATAAATGTTAACTCTCAAATTATGGACTTTGAGTAAAGACATCCCAGTCCTTTTTCCCAGTGTGCTTTCCAGAGTAACTTAAGGTAGGAGTCCGATGTTCCAAATGATTACAATAATTTAGGTAATGTAAATGGGTGGACTTATTTCTTGATGGAGCACATTCCACCTCTACATGCAGCCCCTAATCATTTCTAGGCAATGGCTGTCATGTAGACCTATTATTGCCAGATCTTCCAATTTTCTCAAGAAAAGCCAAAAGTGAAGATTTTTATCTGTCAATGTTAAATACAGGTTTAAACTTAAAAAAAAAAAAAGTACTGTCAAAACAAAGCACATAGGTAGGTAACAAATCTGTAGGTAACTCATCCATAATCTCTGGCCTAATGATCCAGCTATTCTATAGCCTCAAAGCTAAGAGGACCAAAGAGTGGAAAAATTAAGTCCTATATATGCATCAAGCCATGCTGCTCACATTTCTCCCATTGGTAGACTGAAATCTGCTGTTTCTCCTGAAGAAGTCTCTTGGGGTTCACCAGCTTTCATATGTAGATACTGACAAGCTAATAACTATTCAGAGAATATCCTGGTTCTTCCTTCAAACGACGAAGTGTCAGACACATTTCATTTTTAACTTGTCTGGGATGGTCTGTGGACTTAACTGGTCTGATCACGACCATAACAGCTGGTGGTCACCTTTGCTTTTCCGACCACCAAATTACTGCCCTTGATCATGTTCAGTTTCCCTCTATCCCACTTTCAGAGACAACCACAAGCTTCAGCAACTAGGCTCAAGCTTGCATGCATACACTTTAATCCCTCTATAATTAAAAATACCAGATAATACTTTGCTGATCAATAAACAAAGGTATTTATTCAGCACCCATGTGCCAAGCACTGTGCTAGGCACTGTGGTGGATACAAAAATTAAGACATGGTCCCTGCCCTTAAGGAGCTTACATTCTCATGAGGGAGACAAGACTAATATACATGTACCAGCTAGGAACAGTACAAGACAATATATAATTTGGCGTTAAGAATGTCATACAGACTTGAAGCTTTATAGGGATTCAGAGACAGACAATAAAATAGGCCTTAGAGTCAAGATTTTTTGAGGAATCAGGAACAAGGCCAGGCCTTGAAGAACTGAAGAGACTTAAGTTGAGGTCCCTGTTAGGTAGAAGTGGGAGTAAAGTTAAGAAAAAAACAAGTATGCATATAATGTAGGGGCTTACTAAGAAGTCACTGTGGATTTCTGAGCAGAGGAGTGACTTGATCATACAAGATTCAACAATTTTATTGCAAACTCATAAAATATGTTTAAGTAGCCTGGAGACATCCTACAGAACACAGAAAATAATGGCAGGATCATGACTAACAACATAGCTGGAACTCACCTGTCAAAGAAAAACAGCTACAACATAAAACACTGGCAGGATAGATGACAATAGTTCTAGGAAGCCCATTACTCAACATGGCAATAGCTCCAATGCTTCCTTATTTTCAGAGGCCCCAGAGACTGAGGGTTTCATTATCCAGACCCAGGACTTAGGTGTTCTGCTTCTAGAGACTACACAAGAGGTATGAAAGATATGAGGACATACAAGAGTGACACAGAAAAAACAAGAGGAAGAGAGAAACAAATAGAAATCCATACTGGAAAAAAACGCACCGAAATGTATATAAAATGTATCTCCTAAGGAGATGCAATTTGTATGTCCATTTATTTTTAAATGAACGTATACCGTATTTCCATAACAAACAAAAAACACTATGCTTTAGTCAAGTGTGCTTTTCAGTATCACTAGAAGAATCCAGGAATCCCTCAAATTATGTGTAAGGTTAGTTGGTTGGTCTCAAAATTCCATGTATCAAATCTCACTTTCAGTTTATTTGCATTGTGAAAGGGAAGTGTGTTCTGGAAGAACTAAGATTGAGAGGTAAATTGGGGAGAAAGTAAGGACTTTTCCTTATGTCCATTCAAGCACAGGTATCCTGTCAAGCAACACAGGGCTAGGAATGGTGGTTGTAGGGCTGGCCAAACTGATGAGAGGTGATTGAAATTACCACTGCTCAGGACACAGTGTAGTCAGTCACACAGCAGGGCATCCTGCCACTGGGAACTTGCACCCTATAAAATCGGAGAAATCAAAAACCCTGTAACTGCCTGCCTTTAGGCTGTATATTCAAAATGTATTTCCTGTTTTACCTAGTCATTAATGTATACAGATATTCCCTACTTAAATGAACAGTGAGTTAACAGATTTTAGGATTAGTATTTTACCACAAAAATGCCATTCATTGCATAACTCCAACTCAGGGAGAACAAATAAAACTAGAGAAACTCATTTCTAGCCCAAAAACAATTTAAAAAAAAAAAACAAAAAACAAAATTCTAACAAACGTCACTGATAAAGCGTTCTTGAGCAAAAACAAGATAGGATAAAACTTAAGAATCCCATAAGGATTATACATGCTAAGATTGGCTTTTAAACTTTGAAAACCTTTTTTAAACTGCTTAAAAAGCAGTCCCATAGACCCAGGTTCCATAAAATTGCAACAATCATATTCAAAGTTATTAGCAACATGTAAAATACTTAAATACCATTAGTTATGCAATTCCATTTAAAGACATTAAAACACTTTTCACTTCAAAAACAATCTGAAAATTCCTATTTAGGATGTCCATTATGTTTAAGCCTATGTCTATCTTTCTGAGGACAATGTCACATTCTGGAAAGCTACCCCTTAACAAAGGTTGAATGAACTACTACTAACAATCCACTTTTGGGAAAGGGACCTGTGCCTACATGCCGTTAATGAAAGCTGTTTGGAATCATCTCTTTCCTAGGGGTGCTCTTTCGACTCTTCCAGGTTCTGGAAGTTACTTAAGCAGTGTGAATGCAAACCTGCTGAGACTCAGGGAAGACTTAATATTTAGGGGAAGTATTTATTGAACCACAGCATTAAGTGTCTACTTCTGTGGACCCTGTCTAATTTCTACCTGATTGGGAAGGTAATCCAGGTACTTGGCTCTGAAAAGGTTCTTGAATTTTCACGAAGCAAATGACTAATGTTAACTAGCCAAAGACCCTGGAAGAACATATGCCTAGCTAACTGGTATCTGTTCGTCTGGCTCCAAAGTCAACATTCTAACTTGGTTTCCAAATCTAATGAAAATCTGAGACCCTGTCTCTATTTTTTTTTTTTAATTAAAAAAACAAAAAACAAAACAAAACAAAAAAGGCAAAAAAAAAAAAAATGGCTGGGCATGGTGGCTCATGCCTGTCATCCTAGCACTTTGGGAGGCTGAGGTGGGAGGATTGCTTGAGTCCAGGAGTTCAAGACCAGCCTGGGCAACACAGTGAGACCCCATCTGTATTTAAAAAAAAATTTTTAATTAAAACTTTTTTAAAAATAAAAGAAAAAAAAAGTCTAATGAAAATCTTCCTAGTTTTACAAAAATGTGGCCCTTACCAATCTTTCCCTGGATACTTCTTAATGGAGAAATGTAAGTAAAGCAAATAAGATGCCACATTAGCTTACAGCTGACTTTCCTATAGCTGAATTCCTACTGCTACAAGAACCATCCTCCCTCCTTTTTTTTCATGTTGTCTGACAAAGTTTGGCAAAACCCAGATGCAAAACAACCTATCCAGATGACAGAAATAAATCATCTTCCTGCTGAATCTTGCATTCTGAGTTAGTAAGATGTACACAACCACAGCATGACAGCCACGTATTTCCAATCCTGAAATGAAATCCAGTTAAAAGTTGTGAAGACACAGGAAGAACAGCTGTGTAAACTGTTCTGAGCTCAGATCTACGCAGGAGGGCTACAATACATTATCAGAATTTAAAAGATCACACACAAAAGCTTTAATACAGTGAGAGAAAAATGGAATTCCGTTTTATTTTGTCCTCTCTGAAACTTCCATTTACACCATGGCCTCATCTATCAAGAAGAGGAAGAAAAGGCTCTGCCTTATACCATAAAAATCAAGTACTCATGTACTTGTTAGAGGTGGCAGGATATTTGTTTCTCCAGTTTTTTGGCTCTAAGAAATTACACTTTCAGTACCAGTGTAGTGAGGAACCACTGGCAAACTGTTGGAAATGTCTTCTGGATTAGTCAGTGTACCATTTCATAAAGTGCTTCTGGAGTTAAAATCTGCCAAGCTGTCAAAAGTGTCCACACTTTTGCAACAAAGGATAAAAGATCCCAGTGGGTATCACCGAGTCCTTCCCAGCTGGGTCTCATTATTGGCACTGCTGCTTTAACCTCCAAGCCGCTGGCCCTCACCCCAGGCGAAGCCTCCTGGCCGTTCCTCAGGTAGTGGATTGTAATTTGGATCCTCATCTGGTGTATCAAAAATAGCTTTCCTAAAAGACAAGCAACAGATATAATTTGGTCCCAGAGTCATCTCAGGTCCAAAGTACTACAAGGTCAGTTCAGGCCCCATAGGGTTTCCACCAATAGGTAAGCATTACACCTGCCTGCCAATTAAACAGTTAACATATTGTAAGAGCATCTATAATTATTAACATTTACATTAGCTTTTATCTTTTACTGATTTTTACTACAAAAGCAATCCAAATCATAATAATTACAGAGAAGGAGGAAATAGAGATGAGCAAAATATCCTCAATTTCCAGAGGTAACTATTGTCAATGTTTTAGTTATTCTTTGGGAATTTTTACATTATGTCATTTTACAAAAGTTAGATCACACTACATGTTTTGTAACCTGACTTTCACATATTTATCATTAATGTTTCCCCATAACCAAGGTATCACCCAAGTGTGCATCAACAGGTGAATAAACAAAATACGGTACACACATATAATAGAATTTTTTTTTTTTTTTTTTGAGACGGGAGTCTCACTCTGTCGCCCAGGCTGGAGTGCCATGGTGCGATCTCGGCTCACTGCAACCTCCGCCTCCCGGATTCAAGCAATTCTCCTGCCTCAGCCTCCCGAGTAGCTGGGATTACAGGCGCCCGCCACCACGCCCGGCTGATTTTTGTATTTTTAGGAGGGAAGGTTTTCATCATGTTGGCCAGACTGGTCTCGAACTCCTGAACTCAGGTGATCTGCCTGCCTCGGCTTCCCAAAATGCTGGGATTACAGGCATGAGCCACTGCACCTAGTCAACATGGTGAAACCCTGTCTCCACCAAAAATACAAAAATTAGCCTGGCGTGGTGGCGCATGCCTGTAATCCCAGCTACTACTCAGGCGGCTGAGGCAGAAGAATCACTTGAACCTGGGAGGCACAGGTTACAGTGAGCTGAGACTGCTCCATTGCACTCCAGCCTGGGCGACAGAGCAAGACTGTCTCAAAAAAAAGGAAGGAAATTCAGGCACATGGTACAACATGGATGAACCTTGAGGACTTTACGCTAAATGAAATAAGAAATAAGCCAGACAAAAAAGGACAAATATTGTATGATTCCACTTAGGTACAGAGTAGTCAAATTCAGAGAAAGAAAATAGAATGGTGATGGCTGGGGTGGGGAGTTGTTTAATGAGTACAGAGTTGTAGTTCTGTAGGATGAAGAGAGTTCTATGGATGGTGGTGATGGCAGCAAAACAGTATGAATATACTTAATGCCACTGAACATTTAAAATGAGTTAAGATGGTGAATTTTATGTTAGGTATTATTTTACCACAAAATTTTTAAAAAATTAACAAGGTATCCCAAGAAAAATTACTGCAGAACATAGGAGGGGATAGTAAATGTCCAAAAGACTCCCTAAGTACTATGATGTAGTAATTCAAAACCTCACTAAAGAAGGAACCATTAAAGCAGCATCCTCAATTTGCACTTATATTTCTACTTGTAATCCTCCACAGTTGATAAAATTAGAAATGTATCTGAAAACTTCTGATTTATACTGGAGTCAGAAAATAGTATAATTCAAAATGAGTTTTTAAAATTCTTACAAATTAACAATAAAAACAAACATACCAACAGAAAAAATGGGCAAAGGGCTGAATATGCAATTCAAAAAGGAAATCCATGTGGTCAATAAACGTGAGAATGTTTGCTCTCACAATAATCAAAGGAAAGTATATTAGAAACTGAGATCCCGGCAGGTGTGGTGGCTCATGCCTGTAATCCCAGCACTTTGGGAGGCCGAGGAGGGTGGATCACCTGAGGTCAGGAGTTCAAGACCAGCCTGACCAACATGGCAAAACCCTATCTCTACTAAAAATACAAAATTAGCCGGGTGTGGTGGCGCATGCCTATGATCCCAGCTACTAGGGAGGCTGACGCAGGAGAATCGCTTGAACCCAGGAGGCGGAGGTTGCAGTGAGCCGAGATTGAGCCACTGCACTCAAGCCTGGGTGACAGAGCAAGAATCCGTTTCAAAAAACAGCAACGACAACAAAAACAAAACTGAGATCCCTTCTACTGCCCAAACATTAGCAGGATGGGGGTGGGGGCACAGCCTGGTATAGGGAGTCAAGAGCCCCATCAGACCATGCACACATGGAGGTGGCCTGACGAGATGTTAGCCCGAGTAGGATGGGGAGGCATCCCTGTAAGAGGGCAGCCTGGTCTGGGGAATCTGAGGGTGAGTGAGATAAGCAAGGCATCCATATGGGAGAGGTGGAGACTATCCCGAAAGACTGGTTACATATGAGGGGTAATTAGGTAGGTAAAACATTAATCATAATAAGAATCAGGTTAGGACAGATGGAAAGGGCAGATGGAAAGGAGTGGTACATTCATACAACCAAATAATATTCAGCAATAAAAAGGAACAAATTACCAATAAATACAAGAACACAGATGAGTCTCAAAAACATTATGTTGAATGAAAGAAGCCTTATACCAAAGAGTACATGCATACTGTACAATTCTACTCATGAAGTTGTAGAACATGAAAAACTAATCTACAGAGGAACAAAACCAGAATAGCAATTGCTTCTTGGGGGACAGGTACAATGATTGACAGGGAAGGACATCAGGGAACTTTCTGGTTGATGGTAATTTTCTGTCTTGATAGATACACAGATGTGTGCATTTATAAAAACTCAGTTGACACACTCAAGATTTGTGTATTTTGTTGCACATAAATACTAAACTCTAGTTACTGATATGCACACTCAAGTATACAAGGAATTAAGTATACATATAATGGCACATACATTTTGGATTGGAAAGCTAGATGTAGGGATAGGTGTGCAATAAGAATAGGGAACTATTAATTACAGAATCTATGTGGTGGCTACATGAAGCTCACTCCAATTTTTTTCTGATTTCCTATAAGTTTGTTAATTTTCATAATAAAATATTGGAGGAAACCAATAGGAAAAAAGCTAGAATGAACCATGAGGTAGTACTAGAAATGGGAGTATAGTATAAACCCATGTTTTAAAAAATACATAGATCTAAAAATATACACATGTATACATTATCATACATACATACATATAATTCCATTGCTCTGTTCACTGAGAGGATCTGGGAATAGCAACACTCCAATAGCAATGAGCACATCTAGCACCCAGATCTTGGCTTCTAAATACCATTCTCCACTTTAAAGGAACCAGGGCTCCTTGAAGAAACAGCTGATTCTAGGACTGGATCAAGGAGAGCACAGGATGAGCCTGGTATATCTTGTTGTGCCAGAAAACAATTGCAAAAAAATAAAAAAATAAAAAGTGGGGTGTAGTGGCTCACACCTGTAATCTCAGTGCTTTGGGAGGCCAAGAGACAAGAGGATCACCTGAGGACTGGAGTTCGAGACTAGCCTGGGCAACATAGAGAGACCTTGTCTCCACAAAAAAAAACATTTAAGAAAGAAAATAAGCAGAGCTTGGTGGTGTGCACCTGTAGTCCCAGCTACTCAGGAGGCTGAGGTGGGAGGATCACTTGAGCCCAGGGGCTTGAGTTAACAGTGTGCTATGATCATACCACTGCACTCCAGCCTGGGCAATGGAGTGAGACCTGTACTGCATATGTAATTTCTTGTAGGACTGAAATTGTTTCAAAACATTTTTTAAAAATCATAAACAATGAGACATCATCCTACAACTATTCAACTAGGAAAGGGTAAATAAAATGCCTTCCTTGTTTGATTAGGATGTGGGGAAATGAACAGTTATAAATGCTAGTTGAAATGTAAACCTGAACATCCATTCTGGAAGGCGTTTGGCAACAAAATAGGAATTCTACTTCTAGGAATTATCTTTTGAAAATAATCATGGATGTGTGCAGAGATTTAGCTACAAGGACATTCACCACTCCAATTACAGAAGAGAAAACCAAGCACTAACGTCAATGTCCATCAACAAGGGATTAGTATAATTACACCATATCCATACCATGGAATATCACCTGTTATAATTTTATAACACTTCAGGGTGGAAAAAACAATTATGGCATACTAAGTTTACAAGGTTACAAAAATTGTTTTTTGAGACAGGGTGCCACTCTGTCCCCCAGCCCGAAGTGCAGTGGTGCGATCTCGGCTCACTGCAGTCTCAACCCTCTGGGCTCAAGCAATCCTTCCACCTCAACCTCTCGAGTAGCTGGGATTACAAGTACATGCCACCATATGCAGCTGATTTTGGGATTTTTTGTAGAGATGGGGTTTTGCCATGTTGCCCAGGCTGGTGTCAAACTCCTGAGTTCAAGTGATCCGTCTGCCTTCACCTCTCAAAGTGCTGGGATTACAGGAATGTGTTATGTTGTCCAGGCTGGAATGCAGTGGCTATGTTAAAGGCCTAGCCCAAGAAGAGCAGTGGCTGTTCACAGGCGCAATCATAGTGTATGCAGCCTTGCCTGGCTCAGCGTTTTTTAAAAAGTACACAAAGACTGAAGAATACACATTGAAAAGTTAACAATGGTGGCCACTGCTATACCCAAGTGTCGGGATAGTGGACAATTTCACTTTCTTCTTTTTTGCTTACTATTCTACAACAAACATTTTATAACAAAAACTCACATTTTACTTCTCAATTGAGCCCTTTTTAATATGGCATCTCCCAAGGATACCAAATTCCAGAGTAGAAAGAGGTCTCATAAATCAAAGTTCTACTGCACTCCAGCCTAGGTAACAGAGTGAGACTCCATGTAAAAAAAAAAAAAAAAAAAAAAAAAAAAAAGAAAGAAAGAAATCAAAGTTCTATCTCAGGAAACTGAAGTGCAAAAAAGAAAGGACTTGCTCTATGGCTGGTCAGTGGGACAGCTACACCTGGTTTCCAGTCCAAAGCTATTTCCACTCTGCTTCACTGCTTATCTCAACCACCTGCTTGGCAGGCCACAAAGTCCACCATCAGAAACTTTCATCAGTTTTGCCCATTTTGCTACCTTACTTCACTAAACGTGGACAGCAGCTTTCATAAAACCAGCAGGCTCCTACCAGAATAGAAGTTCTAGTGGTCATCTCTAACAATTACCAGGTTACTCCCAAGATATCTTGAGCCTGTTGACGTTGGTCTTGCCACAACCCTGGCACTGTCTGCTCCTACCCAGTCCAAGTGCTCTTCAACTGTAGCCAGAATGCTCAATCTGCAAATGGTTACTGACCTGAGCTATGTGTACTAGGAGCTAGGGGAGCCAAAGAAAACACAGATCATGCCCCTGTCCTGGTTTGCCTGTAAGAGTATGTAACCTGGTGTTAAATACTCACAAAATAGATGGTGTTTTCAGAATTCTTATTCCACCAGGTTGATTGGGAAATACATCTTCCAAGAAAAAATATATGTGTCCAACTGCAATACCTAGAGTCAAGCAGAAATAAAGGATGAGGGAGAGAATTAAAATTTAGATTGCAGGTAGACCTACCAACACAAATTGCCTATATTTAGGATGAATGTCAACATAATTATTAAAAATTAATGAACTAATATTGTGGTATTTTACAATAGGTAATACGTGAAGGCCAAACAGAATAAACATGAAAAATAGTAACAAAATACTTTTACAGGTAAAATAATTTAAAAAATAGTGAGAAGAGCCTTACCCAAAAGGTCCACAATGATTGAGTTCCCCAACAACAAGGAAAATCCCATGAGCACCCAGGGCAGAAAGGGGGCCTGGAAGTTGAGAAGGCCGAAGAAGTTCATGCGGACATAGGGGTTCCTTCGGCTCCACACATAGACGAGCATTATTGTAAAGGCCTGGCCCAAGAAAACTAAGCTCACAAACAGACCAAAAAGCTAGCAGATGGCATTAAGGAAAATATCAACATTAAAAGTTTAATAGGAAAGACTGAGCAGGAGAACTAAAGATTGTGTTCTAACAGAAGTTTGAATTGGAAAAGTCAAGTTGTTACATCTTTAGAATAGAAGGAGAAACACCCAGAAAATAATTACCCAGAGCAATCAGGCAAAAATCTGCTTAGGCTAAATTATCGAGATTTACAGCTACTTCAAACAAATACTCTGCTTTCGTGAAGTTCTTGCCTCTTTGGAAAATGTGTTAATTCTTCAGTCAATAATTATATTAAAGCTTGCTCACGATTAGCACCTTTACAGAGATGAATAAAGCTAGCTGGAACAAAACCATCTTGTCAGACCGTACCATATCTAAGTCTATTGTATAGATGAAAATTCTTTTTCTGAAAAAATAATTTATTGGTTTTGGTAGCCACCAAGTAAATGTCTTACCAACTTAGTTTAAAAGTGAAGTACGCCAAGCAGTAATGATATAACTGAGTTGCTTAACAGTAACCCACCTGGGTTAAAAGTTCCTTTGACTTGCTCATCCTGTCCGACTGCTAGGTTTGGAAACTTGTCACAGAAAATGTGCTGTAAAATAAATGATAGTGCCCTGAAGCTAAGATCTAGAGAACTGTGGGAGACAGATGACAAGCTTTAGGAAGAGCCAGGGTGTTCTTCAACATTTTCCCGTGTTGTTTGTTGAAGGATACGGTCATTAAGAATCCACCAAAAAGGAACATAAATACAAAGTCTGCTGTCCGACCTCGGAAAGAGCCTTCTTCTAGCATTCGACAGTAACGATATCTTAAGTTCCAAGTTAAGAAAATATTAAGCACACGAATATGAACAAAGTAAAAATTTAATGTTATCTTGTAAGTACACTTGGATTCCATATTATTTGTAATTAGTCAAGTCTTCATTTGTATAAGAATGTTTGAGTGGTAATGTGATTACTTTTTTACCAAGCATTTGAGAAAAGGTCAAGACCAGCATCATTTTTTACAAACTGTCCCTGGCTGGGAACTAATCCAGATGACACACAGACATGCTTTCAGTCCCCTATTCTTTTTTTTTTTTCTTTTGAGACAGAGTCTCGCTCTGTCACCTAGGATGGAGTGCAATGGTGCCATATCGGCTCACTGCAAGCTCCGCCTCTCAGATTCAAGCGATTCTCCTGCCTCATTCTCCTGAGTAGCTGGGATTACAGTTGTGTGCCACCATGCCAGGCTATTTTTTGTATTTTTAGTAGAGAGCAGGTTTCACCATGTTGGCCAGGCTGGTCTCAAACTCCTGACCTCGTGATCCACTGCCTTGGCCTCCCCAAGTGCTGGGATTACAGGTGTGAGCCACCACACCCGGCCCTCCAGTCCCCTATTAAACCTTTAAAAATTTGTATTGTCTTTCCTGTGCTCAGCCACACCTTAATATGCACCATCTTTGCTTTCCCACATCCTAACTTGGAAGAAATCCGCAGCAAGAAGCCTTGTGTGCTCAACTACTTTTCCAGCCTGGCAGGTTGAGCACCTCAGTCAATAAAGATGAATTACGATGAGAAAAAACTTTAATGGAAACTTATCAGAATGATATCCTACATAGGATATAAAATGGATTCCTGCCATCCTCAGGAAGGAATGCAGCTGCAGATGAGTTGAACTGTAACTCCCTCTTAATACAGAGGGCAGGGGTGGAAGAGGAATGCCCTGCTCTGTGGCCCCAATTACCATTGGATCAGAGCTGGGGTTTTCCTTTCAACAAACCGGAACTTGACAAGCCCAGCAGACACAACCACTGTCTTTCAGCCAGTAGTTCCAGCAACCAGGACCCAAGGAGATCTCAGGTTCCCACTCCTCATGAACCCATTCCAAAACTTATGCCCAAATTCTGCTGAATTACCATTGCATTCAGGTTGTTTTACGGCTTCGAACCTGTTGGTTACTGTGGAGGTATGCCTCAGTTAAATCAATTCTCCCCTCCCTTGATCAGATTTGTAAGTAACAAAAGAGCAGAAGTGCTATCTTTTTATGGTTAAAACCTCCCATTTGAACAAAGTGACCTACAGACATTTTCAAAACATTACTACCTAAGCAACTACTTTATGTACCACTGACCCAGAAATCATAGCTAAGATGGTACCAAAAACAAGTAACAGGATGAAAAGTTTCAACTTAATTTTTTACTTCCTAAGAAAAAGTTTTGATGCTGACCCCATTTAATAAAGGATACAGAAAAATCATGTTAAATAAAAAATTGAATCCAACTGGCCCAAAAAATAAGAAGTTGGTGATTAATCTCCATATCTGTTAAAAAAAAATCAAGAGAAAGATGTATTAAGTAAAATAAATTACCAGGAAACAGTTCCATATTAATACAAAAGAAACATCCTATGACTGCGGTGGTTGAGAAGCCTTGGACAGAGTGATACTCTGTTCTGAAACAAAAACGGGGGCATATAATCTGATGTTAGATTTTTTTTGCTGCTTTTAGTTCAAAGTCTGAAAGACATCATTGGGACTGTGACATTTATAATAATAGGAAAGAAAATTTTAAATTGTGATCGTCGTATGGAGAAAGTTTGCTGGAAAGACTAGGTTAATCGGCAGAACAGAAAACAGTGCTTTCATATGTAGTATCATCATATAATAAATAGAACTGACATATCAGAGAAAAACTTCAGGGTCTAATATAAATTGCTGAGAAATGTTTACATTAGGCAGTCAGAAACATCTAAAAGAAAGGAAAATTCTTTTTTTTTAAACTAAAACTTAAAAAAAAAAAAAAAGAGATAGGTTCTCACTATGTTGTCCAGGCTGACTCAAACTCCTGGCCTCAGGGGATCATCCACCTCAGCCTCCCAAAGTGCTGGGATTACAGGCGTGAGCCACTGCACCCTGCCAAACACTTATTTTCTTGTTGGAAACCCTGATAGACCCTTCCCTACCCAACATCTCCACACCCACAGTAACCACTCTCAATTGTAGAGTGCTTAACGTTTTAAAATGTCTACTATCTCTTGTGATCCACAGACAAGCAAGCTACCCCCAATTCACAGATAGGAGACTAAAAGTTGACTGACTAGCTGAATACTAGTTATTCAGCTAAAAGTTGAACTTTTAAATGTCCTGACCAAGGACCCGCAGGAGTAGATGGAAACTCTGATGGCAAATCTAGAACTCCTAACTCCAAATGCACAGTGTCATCAAGAGTTTAACCCCAGGCAGAGTAAAGCCAAGTAGGAAGCAAGACTTACTTGGATGGAACTACAGCGCCATGTGAGTATTGTGCGAACACAGTGACAAGAGATGACAGGACTGCTTTACAGACCACTAAATTCTTGAGAATTGTTAACTATTAAAGTTGAAACAATTCAGTTCTACATATTAATTATCCAGATTTTAGAGTCCTCATCCTAGTGAGGAGACAAGCATACGCATAACTGCAAAGTAAAAGTGAGAGATGTTCTAAAACAAAGGAGGATGAGTACATAAAGGTTACACAAAAGCTGCGTTTTGAAAGGCAAGCTAGAGTTCAATGGATATAAAGTGAATGAAACACATTTGAGACAGACAGAACAGCATGTGTAGAGGCACAGTTATTGGCTTTTGGGTCTCTCCCCTACTCCAACTATGGTAAGATCATCCTGGAACAGAAAAATCCATCTCTCTTTTAGCATTTTATTTTGAGACAGGGTTTCGCTCTTGTCTCCCAGGCTGGAGTGCAATGGCACAATCTCGGCTCACTGCAACCTCCGCCTCCCGGGTTCAAGTGATTCTCCTGCCTCAGCCTCGCCAGTAGCTAGGATTACAGGCATGTGCCATCACGCCTGGCTAATTTTTGTATTTTTAGTAAGAGACAGGGCTTTACCATGTTGGCCAGGCTGGTCTTGAACTCCTGACCTCAGGTGATCTGCCTGCCTCAGCCTCCCAAAGTGCTGGGATTACAGGCGTGAGCCACTGTGCCCAGCCTCTTTTGGCATTTTAATCACTGGAAAGGACCATCTCCCATTGTAATCTAATAAACCACCATATAGCTTTAGATGTTTGGAATTTGGTTAGTATGATCTGATCCCTGGAAGACAGATCACAATTTAAAAGCACTAACAGAATTGAGTTTCTGGACCATGGTGATAACACCAAGGTGGTGGGTGTGCCTAGGTGCTGAATGGACAAAATAAGGCCATCCCTGTGAGACAACCCCTAAGCAGCTAGCTAGTCAGCCTCCTCTCATAGGACAACGTTAAGTCTAAACCAGTGATTTCCAAATACAGGAACTGGACACATCAAAACGATGCAGGGAACTTTAAAAATAAAACACAGATTTTAATTCCTACCCTTGCAAATTCTGATTTGGTACTTGTTGAGGAGCTTGAGAATCTCTTCAAAGTTCCCTAAGGGATTCTCAAGTCCAACCAGGCTGCAGAATCACTGCTTTATATCCTGACAAGGCAACTTATAATCAAAGGTCCCCACTGGGTTCTTTTTTAGGATAGTGTATAACAGGATTTGCTACTAAACAGTAAGAAAAAGAAGAAACTGAAGCATTAATCACTATTGTGATGAACCACTTACTTGAAAGTGTTTAAAGATTAATTCAGGATTGAAGTACAACTGAAAAGGTGTGATCAATTCCAACTGCTGAAATAGAAAAAGAGCTTCTTAAAGCAAATCAAGAAACAAAATTTCATCATTTACAACAAAGAATTAGTAGGTCTAGCAATTTCCAACTCTCGGTCACTTAGACGTGATTTCCTTTAAGCCTTTCTTCTTAGGCCAGAGGAAGAGGTTGGTAAAGAATTCTCTAGGATTGGTAGAATTCTTTGTATCCTCAATACCTAACACAAAAAAGTCTGTTTTATGTTGCAATAGTTGAGGCTGACATGAAGAAATGAGGCAGACAGGTGGTGATATTTTAGACACAGGACAAATAAAAACAGCTGCTATGAATCTACCCACCACATGGGCACCACCTGAAACAGCTGTATGAAACAACAAAACTCACTTGAAATAACGGAGACTGGAGACCCTGCCACCGTTAGGGCTGGGTACCTCCAGCTAGCCCCTTATTTAGATCCAGAGACCCTTTTTATTATAAGCCATTCCCCTCTCGACAGTTTCCAGCTTGCTTTCCCCATTCCTGTTTCTTCACTAAACGGACCTTCCTCTCACTAGTCACCATGGTACCACCTGGCCATTGGCAGAGCTCTCGGACACATTTCTTGGGTGGGAGGCTCCCGCAACCCTAACCCGCTATAGGTCCGGCGCTCATCTCTTAGAAACTGACCTGACCCCCCATGAAGCAGCACTCCCTTCTCGCGTCACTGGATAAGCATTCTTGGCGCCAACTCGAACCCCAGAGTAATCCCTGTACGCCTCCACCCATCCCCGGGACCAGCCCCTCTGGGCCTCCCCGAGGCCCAAACCCCAGTTTCCTGAAGACCCAGTCATATCCAGCCCAGATAATGAGAAGGTGGCACTGCAGCTGCTCACCACGGCGGCGGTGGTGAGGACGCAGGCAGTGGTGTAGGCGCGGCTGACCGGTGGGATCTGCAGGTACTCCAGCCGCAAGCTCTGGTACGCCATCTTCCCCACCGTCGCCTGCCCCACCCCCCACCCACCCCATTTCCCCTTCCGCCAGCAGGCCCCGGCGGCGGGGCGGGCCCAAAGGCCCCCCGCCCACTTTAGTTTTCCCGCGACTGCCCAATCAACGCCAAGCAACCGCAATCCGTAGAGACCTAAGGAACGCACATCCGCCAATCACGAGTTGCGTCGCCACCGCCCCCCCCCAGCGCCCCATCTCCCCACCCTCTCTTCTCCACCAGCCAACGTCCGGGAAAAACGAGTAAGTACAGGTTCCTTCTGCCAATCCCCGCCGGCCACAGCTAACTTTCCCGCCCGGCCCCTTTCTGTCATAATTGAGGTGTCCACAACCAGCCAATCAGGAACGCGAGAGTATCCCGCGTTTGCTTTCGCTCGCCGAGGCGCGTATCAGTCGGAATTTTGGGGAGCCAACCGCGCCGTCTGTCCCTGGCAAGCCAGCGGCGGTTTAAAGGAGGTGGCGGGAAGCCTGTGTGTGCTTCAAATCGTCACCCTCATGGTCGCTCCGGTAAGTGCTGCGGGGCAGCATTTTCTCTGAGGAGGAGCGGGGACGGGCGAGACTGGCATAAGCGTCTTCGCGAGGGAGCAAGGCGGCCTGTGGGTCGGCCTCACCCCGGCCTCCGACCTGAAGATCCCAGCATGCAGCGCGGGCGCGGGGCCCGACGGAAGCCGGGAGCCGGCCGGAAGCAGTTCCTGCGCTCTGGCTTCTGGGTCCTGTCCTGCGCGATCGCGGGGTCTTAGACAGCTCAACTCGCCGAGATGACCTGGGCACCTCTGCGTTGAATCGGCAAATACTGATCAAGCCGCATTTATTCTGCTCTCAGGAACTCTAAGTCTAGCAGAGAAGATGAGGCGGTAGAAGTTCATCAGTCAGTGCCCGAAGAGAGGTCCTAATGGGAATTCGAAGAAAGGAGTTAATCAAGGAAGTGTATTTTTTTGTTGTTGTTTGAGATGGCGCCCACCTGTAATCCCAGCTACTTGGGAGGCTGAGCTAAGAGGATCACTTGAACTTAGGAGGCAGAGGTTGTAGCGAGCCGAGATCATACCACTGTACTCCAGCCTGGGCGAAAGAGTGACACTTTGTCTCAAACAACAACAACAACAAGAAAATTAGCCAGGCATGGTGGCCTGCACCTGTTGTCCCGGCTACTTGGGAGACTGAGGTGGGAGGATTGCTTGGGCGCGGGAGGTTGAGGCTGCAGTGATCTGTGATCGTGCCACTGCATTCCAGCCTGGGCGACAGAGCGACAACATGTCTCAAAAGAAAAAAAGAAAAACAGAAAGAAATCCTACCTTACATATACAGCCAAACAGTTATAACCACTCCATATTTAACCATTACAAACGTAAATTTTTATTTTATTTTATTTTTTGAGACAGAGTCTCGCTCTGTTGCCCAGGCTGGGGTGCAGTGGCACAATCTCGGCTCACCGCAACCTTCGCCTCTCGGGTTCCAGTGATTCTCCTGCCTCAGCCTCCCGAGTAGCTGGGATTGCAAGTATCCACCATCACGCCTGGGTAATTTTTGTATTTCTAGGAGAGATAGGGTTTCGCCATGTTGGCCAGGCTGGTCTCGAACTCCTGACCTCAGGTGATTCGTCCATCCGGCCTCCTAAAGTGCTGAGATTACAGGCATGAGCTATCGTGCTCAGCCTACAAACATAAATTCTTAAGATTGGCTGCATCTTATCTTCCCATAAGATTTGACTGTACTGCTTATTGCAAATTATTTCATAAAGTGCGTCCTAAATTCACCTGATAATTGAAGTAGCAGTTTGTTTTAGCTAATTGCCTTTATCTGAAGGAATAATAAAATTTCTCTTATTTCTATGACAAGCAATATCATTTCATCTCAGAAAAAGATGCCTAGGTTGAATTCCCACAATGACAAGGAGATAGGGGTTTTATTTTCCTAGATGTTTATATTTGAGAGGAATTACTCGCAGACCCTTGAAAAAACATGTCAGGGTTATAAAGCTGACAAGGGACTTACTCATCTTCTAATTGGGTTTTTTTCAGATGGCTTGGCTGGAGGACAAGCAAATTGAGGACATTGGCAACGGAGTGATCAAAATGATAGATCATGAGGCCTAAAATGAATAAGGAAAGAAGAGAAGTGGCAGAGGCTGAGAACAGAAAGAGAGGGTGGAGGGGCTGTAAATCTTGAAGATTAGGGTATAATATGAGTATATGGGTAAGAATTGGAAGAATTGTGTAGGAGGCAGTAGTCAAAAAGTAGAAGCAGTTTGGAAGAGTAGTTACAAATATCAAGAGCCAGGTGGCTAAAAGGTGGAGCTATAGGTCATTGAAGCTCAAGAAACTGAGTCTCTAGGGCATTGGTTAAGTCATCTGTCTAGACTTCAAAGTTGTCTAGGATGATAATTCAGAAGACTGATCTGTGCCAAAGTCACAGGTAAGGGAAGTGAACAACGAGGAGGGGAAAAGGGAGGGTATAGGCTGATGGAAGGAGCCTCAGAGAGGCAAAGAGTTTATATCCTGTTGTGGGAGTGGCATCAGGTATAAAGGAACACAAACTCCTTATTTTTTATTGATTTGCTTCTTTGTTTGCTATCTGTAATGTGATTGGTTACTTCCTGCAGAAGATTTTTTTTTTCCAAATGAATTATTTCCTTTTTACATTTGCAGGTTTTTCACGACTGAAAACAACATAGCAAAATAAGCCAAGATGTCTGTGGATCCAATGACCTACGAGGCCCAGTTCTTTGGCTTCACGCCACAAACGTGCATGCTTCGGATCTACATTGCATTTCAAGACTACCTATTTGAAGTGATGCAGGCCGTTGAACAGGTTATTCTGAAGAAGCTGGATGGCATCCCAGACTGTGACATTAGCCCAGTGCAGATTCGCAAATGCACAGAGAAGTTTCTTTGCTTCATGAAAGGACATTTTGATAACCTTTTTAGCAAAATGGAGCAACTGTTTTTGCAGCTGATTTTACGTATTCCCTCAAACATCTTGCTTCCTGAAGATAAATGTAAGGAGACACCTTATAGTGAGGAAGATTTTCAGCATCTCCAGAAAGAAATTGAACAGTTACAGGAGAAGTACAAGACTGAATTATGTACTAAGCAGGCCCTTCTTGCAGAATTAGAAGAGCAAAAAATTGTTCAGGCCAAACTCAAACAGACGTTGACTTTCTTTGATGAGCTTCATAATGTTGGCAGAGATCATGGGACTAGTGATTTTAGGGAGAGTTTAGTATCCCTGGTTCAGAACTCCAGAAAACTACAGAACATTAGAGACAATGTGGAAAAGGAATCGAAACGACTGAAAATATCTTAATTGCTCAGTAGTCAAAAGGAGGAGCCTGTCAAAAAGTAGAATCATAAGGACTGTTCAAACCATAAGGACTGTTCAAATCATACCAGTGACTGTTCAAACCAACCATACTTTTTATTAGATTTGCTTTGTCAACTCTTTCTTGTATTCTGTGTTTTCCTCTTTTTTGGTCCACTTTGCTGAGGTATGAAGTGTACTACTTTGAACTAGGCTGAAGCATCTGAGTCTTCTAATAAGTGGGAAGGGATCCAACAAAGAAGCCATGACCAGTTAAAGATATTTGCAGAGTTACACCTTGGTCATAAGTCCTTTGTGACCTTGATTATTTTGGCTTACTCTTTGGATGAGACCAGACAAGAAAAGGATTAAACGGGTGGCTCCTTTAATATTATTATTATTGTTTTTGAGACAAGGTCCCTTTCTGTCACCCAGGTTAGAGTAGATTTCAGTGGCACAATCTTGGCTCACTGCAACCTCTGTGTCCTGGGCTCAAGTGATCCTCCTGCCTCAGCCTCCCAAGTAGCTAGGACCACAGGTGCGTGTCACCATGCTTGGCTAATTTTTTTGCAGAAACGAGGCCTCACTATATTGTCCAGGCTGAGTGGCTCTTTTATTAACCAGTCATTACACTGCGGAACAGCCAACATAGAGTACTTGCTCTCGTCCTGTGAATTTTCTTTCATGAGGGAGTCAATATGTAGTGGAAAGAAGCATGTAGCAAAAAAGACAACCTTGATCTTTAATAAAAAAGAAGTTGGTTTATTTCCAAAATAAATCCCCTGACAAAAAACCTGGTGATGTTAAGCAATTGACTGTCTTAGAGTCCAGCAGAAGACCTTAGACAAAAAAAGCAGAACCCACTGGAGTAGAAAAGGAAGCATGTAGCATATACTCAGTAGTGAAATTTAATTTTACTGACTGTTAGGTATCTATGCCAATTTGTTTTCATACTTCAGTTGGTTTTGGAATCTGCCTTATACCTAATATTTATTTATTCACACTCATAAGCATCAAATATTTAATGCCCTCAGTGGGAAATTTGTGTTTAAACTCAATGGAATCTAATATTTCTTTATGTCGTTAGTCCCTGTAAAATGTTAGGTCACCCAAGGAAAGGGGAGAAATAGCAATGGTTGTTCCTAAGGTATTGCTTGCCCTCCATGTCTTCCTAAAGAGCAGAACTTGGAGTTTCTCCTTTATGTAGAGAAGAAGTAACTTAGGGTGTATTTGCAATGAAATATTCATAGATATTGAAAGCTTGTGTTTACATGAAATATGTTTATTATCAAGAAGTCCTTTTTCCAATTCTGTACATTAAATATATGTGTTTTAAAGGGTTTGGTTTTTTATTTTCTGCTGTCTATAATGCCATGGTATATTTCTTTCCAGTATGACTTTTTACTCAATTGAAAACACTATCTTTTTCACATTTATAGCTTATTCAGAATCTGCTGTAGTGGGTCGAACAGTGATCCCTCCGAAGATAGGTCCATGTCCTAATTCCTGGAACCTGTGAATGTTGCCTTATTCAGCAAAGGGGTCTTTACAGGTATAATTAAGGATATGGAGATAAGGAGATCATCCTGCATTATTTGGATGGACCCTAAATCCAGTGAAAAGTCTCCTTAGAAAGG